>NC_000001.11:55159895-55311410 GCF_000001405.40 Homo sapiens
ATGAGTACATTTTCTGTCATTACTATCTTATAAAGGTAATTTTGAAGAGTGACTCAAGACACACAGTCTAACTTTTAAAACACAGCATGAATTGTTTTTATAATAAATATTTTGTGCTTGATTTTTAAAACTGAATATAAACACAGACCATGGAAATTATGCTGTCATATGAACGATTTTTGCTTACTGATGTGAATGAGGCCTATAGATGAAATTCATACAATACACTGCTCCAGAATGGTAACACAACCAGAAAACTAACTCTGAAGAGTATGTGAGAATGGTAAAGTATTAGCTATTAATACATCTAAATTACCACTTCCATCTAAGTAAGAAAATATTTAAAACTTAGCTGATGAAGAAAGAGATAAACAATATTTGGCTGTCAAAGCCAAGAATACATTAGCAATGAGCTAAAATGACATCAGGCAGTTATCCAGATAGAATTTCTTCTTTTACACTTAATGCCAATTGTATAGGAAGGAGAGCGAGCTGTTATGGTTAAGAGAGTCATAGTGCTCTTTTCAGCACATGCTGTTTAATCCTTACTGCAACTCTTGAGACAGCTATTACTATTATGGCCATTCCACAGATTAGGAAATTGAGGCATACAAGTTAAATAAGAGTCTTCTGAAGTCATACAAGTAGCAAGTAGTAGAGACAACTGTTATGTAAGTAACATGTATTATATGAGTTTATTGCTGAATGAATTTAATTTTGGATGGTTTGACATAATTAAAATAAAGATGAAGTCAGATGTGCTTGGTTGGGAATTCATACACTTCTTGTTCTTTTTAAGGTACACTCTGTTTACATATATAAAATCTGGAATTTCTAAAGACCTTAATATTAGTTAGCAGCTGGGGTATTTATGCTAAATTCTCTTCCACATAGCAAGGCATGAGCAAAGAGCATGTGTTTAAAACCCAATCCTGACCCTGATTATTAAAGTATTAATGTTTATTATTAAAATATTAAAAAGTCCAATCACTTTGCCTCTTTATGTCTTAGTGTTTCAACTATGAAATTAATGATATTTATATGCTTAATAAACTGAAGGAACATTAGCTGTTTCTAAAGGTTTTAATATACAGAATGGAGAAATATGTAAACAGCCATCCTATTTCACCTAAAACTCTTGCAGGATTACCTTGACATCTAAAGAAAGCATTTAACATTTAGAAATTACAGAAATTGGCTAGGTACAGTGGCTCATGCCTGTAATCCCAGCACTTTGGGAGGCCGAGGTGGGTGGATCACGAGGTCAGGAGTTTGAGACCAGCCTGGCCAGCATGGTGAAACCCCATCTCTACTAAAAATACAAAAATTAGCCGGGCATGGTGGCACGTGCATGTAGTCCCAGCTACTCAAGAGGTTGAGGCAGGAGAATCGCTTGAACCTGGGAGACAGAGGTTGCAGTGAGCCGAGATCACACCACTGCTCTCCAGCCTGGGCAACAGAGCGAGACTCTGTCTGGAAAAAAAAAAAAAGAAAAGAAAAGAAAAAAGAAATAACAGAAATTTCCAGAACCTACTAAAAAAAAATCCTATCTCCCTTATTAAAATGGCCCTAAGTAAATGTGATGTTGGAAAGAACAGTGCATTTAAAAACACTGCTCCAGAAGGACACTGTGCTTTCAAAACCATTTATGGTGATTTTTTAAAAGCTCTATAGAAGTTATAGGGTCCACAGACTTATTTATAAAAATAAATAAACAGAAGTATTTCAACGTGACATTTTGTTCGGTAAAACTTGTTAACTGAAATGAAGGAAACAGGATAGCAGAATAGGCTTTTAGCATTAGAAAACTGAACACTCACAGCTTTGACTGTTCTATGACCTGCTGACTTACAATCCTACGGAGGTAGGAAATCAGACAAGATGTGCTGTTAAGCTGGTATTCAGAAGTGAGCAACTGAGCCAGTAAGTGAGCCTAGCCGATTTAATACATAAATACTAATCTGATTCAATACATAATGGCATTAAATCCTTAAATAATCCTGTGAAGCAAATAAGGATATGCTGCCTACTTTATAGATAAGAAAATGAAAAATAAATAAAAATTATATTTTATAAAATGATAAACTGAAAAGGTAAATGGCCTTCTCAAATGTTAGGTCTCCTATACTTCAAATTATTCAACAATTTTTATTATCTGATGGCATTTTTATTAAAAGGACAGCTAATGTGAAAAAAGGAGTTACTCTGGATTAAAGACCACTCTGAATAACCTGATAAAAAGAAGTTATTACTGTTTGCATGTCTTCAATCATATGAAGTAATGTGAAATGGTTTAATCCTACCTGTACCACGGAGGAATTGAGGTACTCTGCACACACTCCTAAGGGCTGAATCAGTGCTGAGACAGCCTGGAAAAAGACAGTGAAGATTAAAAATACATTTGAGAGGATTTTTTTCCTGTCAAAATTAAACAAATCCCTTTTCATGTATCAGAGAAAAGTTTAAATAGTGAGTTGATCAAGTCATGAATAGAAGACTAGAGAAACTAAACTCCTGGATAGAAAGAATTGATATAAAGATGTCAACCCGCTTAAATTATTATAGAAATTTAATGTAATTTAAATCAGAATATGTCAATAAAACATCTTTGGAGAATTAGATAAAATGATTTTAAAGTTACATTGTAGAATACTATACATTTTTTTAAAAAAGGAGAGAATAGCTGAGGCATGAAATATTCCTTAAACAAAAAACACTGAAGGCTTACTTGAAGAAAATTATAAAACCTTACTAAAATACATTAAAGCAGCCCAAATAAATGGGGAGACACCATGTTTCTAAATGGAAAAGACCATTATTGTAAAAACATCAATTCTCTCTGCACTGACCTATAAATTTAATGCAATTCCAAACACGATCTCAGTAGAATTTTCTACAGCAGAACCTGACAGGTTGACTACACCCAGAACATTAAAAATATGGAAACAATAAAAAATTTTTTTAGAAAAGAATGATACTGGGCAGAAGTGACACTACCAGTAATGAACACAATGTTGCAACAGTACAGAAATGAACCAAATAATGAATGAATTAATAAATGACTGGAACAGAGGTCCAGAAACAAATCCATTGGCACACGGGCCTTTGATATTATTAAGCCAGCAACTACAAATAATAAGGAAAAGAGAGATTATTCAACAGAGGATCTAACAACAATTGGCTACCTATTTGGAAGAAAATAAAATTAAATCCCTATCTTTTCAAATATACAAAAATAAATTCTAAATGAATTCAAGGACTAAGTTAAAAAAATAAAAATATGAAAGTATAAAAAGAAAAAATATATTTTTATAAACTTGAGGTGGGAGAACATTATCTAAGCAAGTTAGAAAACTTTTAAGACACCAAGGAAAAATTTGACTACGTAAAAGTCTGAAACTTCTATATAGCAAAAGATACCATCAATAAAAATGAAAAGAAGCAAAATACTAGGAGAAAAGATTTACAAATATGCAAAATAGATACAGCATTGATAAGCTTAATATAAAAATAATTCCTAAAAATTAACAAAACACGTCACCCAAAGAGACCTAAATAAACTAGGTCAATTCACAGAAGAAATACAAATAACCAATAATCATATGACAAAATGCTCAAGTTCACAAGAAATCAGAGTATTACATATTAAATAATAAAATACCATTTTTTGTCCATCATACTGGAACATTAAAGATTGAAAATATTTAGCACTAATGAGACTATTATGAAATGGGTTTGTGGGAGTACTGATGGGCAAAAAAGCTTTTTAGAAAGACATTTAGCACTGTCAATTATAATTTTAAAACAAATATACAGTTGACCCTTGAACAAACAAGCTTGAATTGCATGGGTTCACTTACATGCAGATTTTTTGAACAAAATGAGGACTGAAAATACAATATTCCTGGGATGCAAAATCTGCATCCCAGATTGAAGGTTGACTTTTCATATACGTGAGCTCTGCAGGGCTGCCTACAGGATTTGAGTATAGACAGATTCTGGTATACCCAGAATCCTGGAACCAATCCCCCAGTATACCAAGGAATGACTGTAATCTTCAACTCAGAAATCTCATTCTCTAGGTATTGATCTTTCAGAAATAGTTGCACGTACATGAAGACATATTTATAAGGAACACTCTCTATAATAGCAAAAACATAGAAATAATCCAATGCCCATTAGTAAGTGTCTGCATCATGGTATACCATTTGCAGAAATATATCACTTGCAGTCATTAAAAACACTGATAGTACTAACCTGGAAAGATGACCATGATATTATGTTAAATGAAAGTATACAACCAGGTATAGCTTGATAATTTAGGTTTAGGAGAAAAAGAGAGAGAGAGAAAGAACATGCATAGATTTATATAAATTCAGGGAAAAGCCAGAAAGGCATCTGTTAAACTGGTAACCGTTACCTAGGTATGTGTGTGGGGATCAGGAAGAAGGATGAGCAACAACTTTCATTTCTTGTTTTGTATAGGTGTTTTTAACTAGTGGGCTTGTGAGTGATATTTTTTCCTAGTATTTTTAAATTCCAAAGTTGTACTCAGACTTAATATTATGGCCTAAATTTATCCTGGGACACAGCCACCTTAACTGGTCAGAAATTCAGCACGTGTGAATTCTAATTATACCTGTCTCCTACAAAAGTCCACACCTTTGGAATCTCTCCAATGCCTGAGTGTTACTATCCCCTCAATACAACCTAAACAATATAATTCTGTGTCAACTGCAGCAGACAACACAATTGTTCTGAAAAATGGTCTGACCTTATGGAAAAATCTTGCAAGACTCTTTAACTTTAGCACATTTGATAATAATGAGGGCTATGCCCAGATTCCCATCTATCTATCCTGAGCCAATTTTCATCCAAGTAGGATAGAAATTTGGGAGTGCTCTGTATTTTTTTTTTTTTAACCCTGGATCTGAAGAGGTTTTTCTTTGGTTTTGCTTTTTAAATTGTTATATATTATCTTCCAACTCAATGAAGTCCTTTCCAACATACTTGATCTATTGAATGGGGATCACAAGGACAGTTCAACAACCTAATTAACTTCCAGGGAAGCAAGTGGAGGCTTCTGCATCAGTGTCTGTGATATGGCAGACATCTGATCTTTAGGATAAACACTGGGTGGCAAGAAAGAGTCAATCTATTACTACACCATCAGTCTCTCTCCTTGAGCATTGCTATTTCCTTCACCCATAGAGGGACCAATAGGAATTGATTAGTCATGGTTTCACAAAAATAACTGCAACTGTAAGCACAATCTGTAACACCTGGGTGTATTATTTTAACACATTATTTTCTGTACTGATCAAATTACAGCAGATAGCGCAGTGTCTTATTCATGCCAAGTACGTAATAGTTTTTAGTTGAATGATTAATTAGAGAAAAGAATGAAGTGCTCTCAGCAACAAACAGGTCAACAGTGTCTGAAAAATTAAAGATTAGTTATTCCCCTAACTATGAGGTTATGTTTTGAGAAAATGAAGTTGATATGAACACTGCACCTGATGATTCTAAGCTCCCATGTTATAGCCATTTGTTATCTAGAAGTTTTTGTAACACCAAAAAGCTTACTAAACAACTCTGTTAAAAGTATTTTTATTTGTGCCTGAGTCTATGAAGTAAATTCTGATTTTATATAATCGTTTAACTGAGCCATAAAATTGTTATGCATATATATACTTGCCACATATAGCAACCAACTTTAAACAGTAAGATAATTTCATGTAACCATTACAAATTAAGAGAAAAATGCCACAGGTAAAGAAAAAATAGTGAGGAAAAAACTCTACATAGCAATTTGGTTATAATTAGGAGTAAACATTTCTTTGGTTATCAGGACCGTGGAATCTGCTCCTCTAAAGATGAACCTTTAATTTAACATTTAACTTGGCATGTCCAGACCATATCCTCTGGCTGTACACCAACTCAAGTGAAATGAATTTCCACAGTGAGCATATACAGTAGTTTAACTTACCCCAAGTTCTATATCTTCTGAATGGAGCTTGGCTTGGATTGCTGCAAATCCACCTAATTCTCCAAACTGAGAAGAAAAAAGGCACACATTAAGTTATTTTTCTCTTTAATTTTTTTATTTTGAAAAATTTCTATTGGTACATAGTAGGTGTATATGTTTATGGGGCACACGAGATGTTTTGATACAGGCATACAATGTGAAATAAGCACATCATGGAGAATGGGGTTTCCATCCCCTCAAGCATTTATCCTTTGAGTTACAAACAATCCAATTATATTATTTAAGTTATTTAAAAATATACAATTAAGTTATTATTGACTGCAGTCATCCTATTGTACTACACATATTAATTTTAAAATATTATATATTAATAATTTAAGCAAGGAACTAAAGCTAAAATTCTACTTTATCGTTGTGCTCCGTAACATTGGTCTTGAGAGAATCCTTGCATTGATCCTTCTAATGCTCCTGTGGCATACTGCAGATAGTACTAAGTCCAAAAGCTGATGTTTACCTGCTAGTATTGTACATACAAAAAAAGGAAGAAAATATGAAATCCACTCCTTAAAGCATTTTTTTTATTATTCTCTGCAGCTGCCATTTGCTTAATATACCAAACTCTAGGACGTCTCATTAGAAAATTGAAAATATGCTACATGACAATATTAACAAAAGTCATATACCTTATTTACCAAATCCACAACCCATCCATGAGGCTCCTATGAGAAAAGAAAAACAAAATTGAGATGGCAATATAAAAGCTTCCCCATTAACCCTTACATTTCTTTTATCCTAAATGAAAAGTCAGAAGAAAAATTATAAAAGTTTGGAAACTATTTTCAAAGTTTTTTTCCCAAACGCTTCCTAAGATGTCTTTAACATTACTGTATATGATTTTGGGAGTCTGTAAGTCTGTATTTTGATGGAACTGCCACAATGTGGAGCATCTATGCATTTTTGGATAGCTGAGATCAGTTGTTTAAGCTCTCCAACATACAGGATAACCTGAGTTAAATTCTCCAAAAAAGTTTTATTTTAGAAATTAAAACTTAATTATTAACATAAGAAGCAGTAAATCAGCAGAGATTAAAAGTTTTAGTCCCAGTTAGATCATTAATTAATGCTCTTAAGCAAGCTCTATTTTCTCCTCTTTTTCTTTTCTTTTTGAGCATTCACTGTTCTAGGGACTAGATACAGAACAGTGACTACGAAGAGATGTTGTACCTGCTTTTATGAAGCTCATTCTAGCAGGGTCAACAAAACCAAGTAGAGCATCATATACAGAAGACAATTCAAATTGTGCTAAGTCCCACGAAAGGAAAAACAAAAAGGCCTCGAAAGAAAAATAGGACCTTCCTCTACTTGGGGTGGTGGTCATGAAAGACTTCTCTGAAAACATAATCTTTAAAGGACAAGACAGATGTAGCCGTTTAAAGAACAGTCCAGGCAGAGAGGCTAAAATGGCAAAGGTCCTGATGGGGGATGGCAGAAAAGACTCTGCTGTGTTTAAAAAACTCTCCCAGCTGGGACACGGTGAGCCAGGAGTGGCAGAGATGAGGTTGTACAGAGAGGCAAAGAATGTAGATCATGGAGACACTTACAGACCATAATTAGAAAGAAAGCAACAGAAGCGTTTTCAGGAAGAGAGTGTTTTATATTTTAAGGTCACTCTTGCAGTTCTGTGAAGAATGGAATGGAATAGATGAATGGGAGAATGAGACATAGTCAGACACAACCAGTCAGAACGCCAGTGCAGTGTCTAGATAGTTCACAGCTGTGTGTGGAGAAGGATGGCAGCAGAAGGCGCCGAGAGAGGTCAAATGGAGACATATTAGAGATTAAATCAAAGGACTTGTTTATGGTTTGGTTATTCTTTATTCAAGGAATGAATCCTGGCTGACTCCTATGTTTCTGGCCTGAGCATCTAGATAGATGATGATGTTATTTACTAAAAAGGAGAATAAAGGCTGGAGAGGCAAAATGAAATTCCATTTCAGACACACTAAGTTTGAGAACTCTGTATGGCAACCAAAAGGAGATAATTGACTCTTCAAGTCTGGTATACTCAGAGAAGAGGTTTGGGCCACAGAGATATAAATTGGAGGGCCATCGGCATAAATATGACATTTAAATCCATTAGAGAAAGTGTAGTGAATAAAGAAAGGAAGCGCTGAAGATCAAAACTGGATAGAGGTGAAGGAGTCAACAGAGGAAACATGGCTTGGGGGCAAGCAGAAACACAAGGCACTGCAGTATCCTGAAAGCCAAGCAAGAAATATCTCCAAGAAGGGAGCAACTGGGGTCAGTGCTGTTGATGGGGGTCAAGGGACATTTCTTTCCAATCTGGAAACATGCAGGGGTGTTGGTGTCTTAACGAGAATTATTTCAGCAGATGGTGGACGAAGGCAGAATGGAATGCCCTGAAAAGTTAGTAGACTTCTGTCTAAGTATCCTAAATGGTTCTCCAGCTAAAAATAACACTACTGGATAAAAACACTAAAATATAATATTTTAAAAAATATAGTTGAGTTGACAAAAAAAAAAATTAAAAAGCTCAGAAGCTTAAAACGAAGAGAAAGCAGGAATCCTGTGAGACAGGCAGGAAGGCTCTGAAGCCAGATTCACCCACAGGCAGCTGCAGAGCCCTGGTGACCGTAAGTGTCCATTTGCAGGAGAAAAGGACATCAACCCCAGGTGGGACAGGGTGACTCAAGAAGGAAATGCAACGCAAAGCTGGAACTAAAGGGCTACATCCTTGGTGTCAGATGAACTGAAATAGATTTACCTGCGGAAAGGGAAAATAAGGATGCCTAAAGGGAGAAAAAAATTCTCCAAGAATTCATAACCACAGAATTGCCCTCATATGGCTTTACTGCTCAAATTCACACTGACATTATGGTCTGAAAAACCTTAAGTTGATAATTTATTCTAAAATGGTCACAAACTGTAGTGCTTCCAGGCACTTACCAAAAAGTACATCCTTTTTGGAAGAAAGAACTTTCAACTTAAGCCTCAAACTGCCCCCTCCTAGATTAAATGCTAAGAAATATGAGTTCACAGAAAAATGAACAAACAAATAAGTATACATATATTTCCATACACCTACATACATACACAAAGCAAGTGAGTAAAAGCCAGCAGAATCAGACTTGTAAATATCAGGCACAGAATATAAAGTAAGCATTAAACAAATTAGGGCTTGAAAATATGAGTTAAGAACATGAGACAATACAAAATGAAACAGTCAAAAAAACAAAATTTATATAAATTAAAAATTCAGTAACCAAAATTAAAGACTTAAATAAACAAGTTAAACAGCAAAGTAGATATAAATTTAAAAAAAATCCGTGAATTGTACTACTATAGATCTGGAAAAAAGTTATCACAATTGCAACACAAGGAGACAAAAAAATGGAAAATGTGAAAAGGTGTTAAGGGTCACAGAGGACAGAATGAGTCAGTCTAACATGTATCCAATCAAGTTTCAGAAGAAGAGAGACTAATGGGGAAGAGGGAATATTTTAAAAGATAAAGGCTGAGAAATTTCCAGAATTGATGTAAGACATTAACCATAGATTCAGAAGCCCAATGAATCTGAAGCAAAATAAATAAAAAGAATACCATGGTTAATCACATTACAATCAAATTTACAAACATTAAAGAGAAAGAAAAGATTTCAAAATACAGCCATGGAGGAGAGAGAGACTTCTAATAGAAGAACCACAGTCAGATCAATAGCCAACTTCTCCACAGCAATAATCAAAGCCACAAGACAGTGAAATGGTATCTTTAATATTCTGAGAGAAAAGAAATATCATCTAGACTTTTGAACCCAGTGAAAATACATACTTCAAGGAATGGGAAATAAAGTAAAGTTCAGGCCATCAAAAACCAAGACTTACCCACAAACAGAACCTTACTAAAGGATTCTTTATAGAATGCACTATCAACTTTACCGGGTAAAAAATGATAGGAGGGGACTAAGACAATGCACAAGTAAAATAAAGAGGTAATGAATCATTTAAGAGGGGAGCGAGCACATGCAACATTCTAAGGTCTTTATGTACTGCTCAAGGAGGAGAAAGATACTAGTGAAATTTAGATTTTGTTTAGTAAGTTAACATTTTAGGATAACCACTGAAAGAATAACTGAGAGGGAGGACATGGAATCTTCAGGAGGTCTGGTTGGGAAGGGGAGCAGAGGACCATACAGAGGGATATGATATTAAAGGCAGAATATTTAAAGATGGGAAATACTACATCATGTTGCATACAAGAGTAACAATCCCAACAGTGAGGGAAAGATTGAGGATACCAAAGAAAAAATAGAAAGCTGAAGGAGGAATATGCTTGAGAAGGCAAGAGAAGAGGGGATCTAGAGGAGAGAGAATTCCTTTGTGGTAATGAGAGGAAACACAAAGACTGCACCTTTCTGGGTCTCAGTGGATGCATACGTAAAGTGAAAAAAAGAGAATGAACATCTGCTGAGCGCTCACTAGAGTGAACCACCACGTTCAGTATTTCTATGTGTATTTGTCACTTGATCTTCACAACACATCTGAAGAGAAGAGTTTAGCATTTGGGGAGGCAATACTGCATATGGTTAAAGAACATAGACTAGCTGCCTGCATGGGTTCTCCCTGTAACTAGGTATGTGGACTTGGGCAAGTACTTCACTTCTGTCTGTTTCAGTTCTCACCTATGAAATGGGGGTAAAAATAGTACCCAACTCAAAGAGCCATTGTGGGGATTAAATTCCAAAGTACATATTCACTGTCCTTTCCACTCAGCTTTTTCCTCCTCTCTGGGGAACTGTCTGACTCCTCAAGGTGGCAATAACTACCCCTTCCCCTGGATTCTATGTACAGTACATATTATTATAATTCCACCTACTATTTATTATGCTGTCATTTTTTTGTTTTCGTATTTCCTCCACTATACTACAAGCTAGTAATCACATCTTATTACTGTTTATATTAAAAGACAGGACTGTGTACTTATGTTTATACCTCAAACTTAGAATAATGCCAGACACATAGTAAATGTTAAATAAATGATTGCTGACCTAAACCTCTGCTTCCACTAAAGCAATGAACCAGTTTTCTATTGATTAAACTCAACTTCTTTCAACTGTTTCTGAAACCAAACAGTGTTTTAACTAAAGGACTGTTTAGATTATCTACTTCTTGTGAGTATACTCTTATTGGCAGACTGTAGTCTTTTGATATAAAATATACTGGTTCCAGGCCTGAAAAAGCAAGTTTTAATGCATATGAAGTTCAAAAGAAAATATATATGAGATTAAGTACTAGATTATTTTTTCTAGGTACAAGTAATCATTTTAAATGCTATAGTCTCTCAACTCTCTCTAAGAAACTGGAACACCAATTAAACTGGGGTTCTGATAATCTAATAGATGACGCTAAAGACATTTCTCATTTTACTAAACATCATTTCAAACCTATAAAATTCTTCATGATATTAGTTAAGAGCTATGGAAAAATTATGCACTGTCTGAAAAAAAATGTAGGCAATTTTATGAGCCAGATGGGATATTTGTCATTTTTCAGATTGTTTTAATCCTCCCATGTAACTTGTCTTTTTTATAGCACAGAAAATCTTCTTTTTCAATACATTTTTCTATAAAAAGATGAAACTAAATGATGTTTACCTTTTGGAAAGTCGATACAGGTGAAACAGCAAACATATTTCCCTCTCCAAACACTTCTGCCCAATTCCTTTGAGACACTTTCATTCTGTTTTTAAAATGGTATTCATTATCAGGATTGAAAGCCTAGATTCAAAGAGAACAGAGAAACATTATTATCTATTTCTATAGCAACACATATTAGCATTAGAAAAGAAGATAAAAATATAGCCTTTGACTCCCCTCATTAATGGGATCTTTCAAGAATACACCGAAAGCATACGCCTTAGCTAGTGCAAAAGTGCTAAGAATTAATGTGCTATTCTCCTGTCCTGTTCAGTGTTCACTGTGAAGGAAGAGGAGGAGGTAACAGGATAAGAGGTCTGACTCAAGGCAGTGTGATGCCAATGCCCCAAGTGTGCTAGGGCTACCGGGGATGAGATGAGGAACAGAGGCACTGAGGGCAGAAGTCAGGAGGGGAAAATATGAGGGTCCCTTCTTCATGCAGCTACTGTTACCTGTTGGGGGAAAAGGCCAGAAACCAAACTCCATCTACATGAACACTCCATATGAAAGTATTTAAGACATGAATAATCGGGGAGAGGTAAGAGAAAGGCATTTAATCATTCCGTAAGTTGAAAAACCCATTAAAATTAGAAAAGCACTTCTTTCAAACTGAGAACACAAGATGGTTGCTCTGCTTTTAAAATAAAGACAAAGGATCCTAACAGCTAATATCCTTAACGATAAAATTATTATCACTCATTATTAATTACAAGTCAGAGAACAGCAAGTATTTTAAACAAAATCAAAACACAAAGTACTTAATTTTAGAGATACTATACCATTGTAAGCACACCCAGGAGACCAGTGGGAATTGGATCTTGTTTTATTCTCTCTGCGACCAGTTCTATTAATAGCATCAACATGTTGTAAATTCCTTCATGAATTTCAGTACCCCACTTGTGAACAGCACTTGATGTCAGGAGCTATAAAAACATAAAGGGCAATCTAGAGTCTAACTTGAAAAAAGAAAATAAATCTACAGTTTATCAAGTCCATCTCAAATAAGTGAGAGATTATGATGAAAATACTTTTTTATGTAGATGATTGGCTTTTAAAAGACCCATAGCTGTAGTTCATCTACTTGCCCATTTATTTCAAAGTCAATACAGAGTTTTGCTTTTGAATTTTAATTCTCTTGCATGAAAGCACTTTGTTTAAAAGAAAAATTTTATTTGGTCCTCTACTTTTCATAATTACAAGGGTAGGTCAAATGGTGCCGAGCAAGGTAAAAACCTGAGATCAATTCCAGTATTACTGTTTTCTAGCTGTGTGGCCTTGAACAAATTTACCTGAGTTCTCAACGGCTCAGTTCTCTTATCTCTAAAGAGGCATAACTCTTACCTACTTCATACAAATGTTATGAGGATTAAAAGATATAACAAATATAAAAGCATTTTATAAATGGTAAGGCATTATTAATATATCTTGATGGCTGGCTGTCCATATTAATATTTCTGGAACCTAAGAAATGAATGCTGTATTGCACGGATTCTAACATACATATCCTTTTAATATTTTTTAACATCTCAGAAATAGGATAATTTTTTTCTACCTGTTGACTAGATGACAGCAGGACTCAGAATGTGAAAAAAAATCTTAGAAATATCTTAACAGTTTATTTGGCTTACATTTTCCTTTTTGGTATGTACAAAATAATATTTTTTTTTAATTGTTTAAGCAAATCTAAATTAGCTCTAAGTTTTAAGACATTAAACTGTTTACTTTGTAGCTATGTTTCTTAAACATAAAACATCAAATATAAAACAATGGTACAAATCTTATAATTAGATACTTTCTTAGATTCCTTAAAAAGTAGAGAAATTGAATGCCCTTAATTCTCAGTCTTCTGGTCTTTGGGGAAGTGTAGAACAAGTGCCAGAACAAGAAATGAAAAATCAAAGGATTTCACTTAAATTGGTATGGTGGTTTCATGTTTTTGTAAGATTTTTCAAAGGGAAAATACTATGCAACAAATATTCAAAGGGAAAATACTATACAACAAAAATTTCATCTTGGCTTCACTGAGAACCTCTTTAAAAAGAGCAGGCTGGAAGAGCCCAAACTGTAATAGCTGCAGAGAAAAACCTCGGTTCCAGATTTTCTAAATACTAATTAGCCGCACTACTTGCTCAAATTAGCAGAAGTCATAAGACTGATTTTATGTAAACCAGTAAGTTACTATTTTTTGCAGAATTTTTTTTGCCTGACTATATATTCCTCCTATAGTTAAAAATTAAATAATAAAGCAAAACAAAGCAGAGATTACCAATTAAGAAGCTTCAAGTGACTACAAAATAAAAATGTATGTGGATTAAGCAGCAATCCCTCTGGCACCATTCCATTTGCTCATTTTTCACTTTGAAAATGCAATTCTGCCTACATTCTAGAAGAGATAGGGAAAGGCAGGCAGTACCTTGTGAAGAAGATGCACACAAGGTTTAAACATAACCATGCACTATGGTCAAACCTGAATTATCTTCTCTGCCTGAATACACTAGTAAAAATCCAGGCTAGCCTGAAGGTAAAAGGTGAAGAAGGTGGAAATGACAACAAAGCTCCTTTGTGCACCTTATTTATGTAATCACATATCATTCATACCCTTACTTCTAAAAGAAAATGTGTGACAGCTCGTGAGAAAAGCCTGGGGAATTGGGGAGAGGGATGGTCATCGAACCGAGAAACACAGCTAGGTAAGTAGTACCAATTATATCAAATCCTACTGAGTTTTCTGGCAGACAAGCCTAAAGGCACACAGAACTCTAGCTCTTCTGATTTAATAAAAGAAAGTATGCCTAATTGACGGGGAGGAGAACCTTTTTAATAGCTCTAAAGTGCAAAAGAATTTAATATTTTTACTTTAACAAAACTGAATAATATAAGGCATGGTACCTTTGTACTCACAGTTTTACAGAAAAATGACCAACCATGTGACCATTTATTATACTGCTCCTAACAGCTGAAGGCATGAGACAAAACAGTTTTCTGAAGTATCTCTGTACAGAGTTAGAGTATTATATTCCAAATATGCAACTTGCTGGTGAATGGACTGGATACACGGATTTCTGGATCTGGAGATCCTCAACCTTGAATAAGTCCTTTTCCACAACTCTGAATACACTTTTCCTTTTAAGTTTATGCATCCACTGTGATGTGTGTCACAGTATGTTACAATATAACAATTTTGCTATTTTTATTTTACTTTTTTTAAATTTTGTAGAGACAGGGGTCTCACATGTTGCCCAGGCTGGTCTGAAACTCCTGGCCTCAAGATGTCCTCCCGCTTTTGGCCTCACAAAGTGCTGGGATTATAGTGCGAAGCACTGGGCCTAGCCAATTTTGGATTTTTTAAAAGCTGCTGTAATTCTTAAAAGCTTAAAATTATTTTAAACTACAAACTGATGGATGAGCTAATCTAAAATGAAGATAAATCTTCATTTCATATAATCTTTGCCCAAATGACAATTTGAAAAGATTTCTCCATTTTTTAAAAAATGAAGCTACTTTTGCTTCTAAAATTAATTATATATATATTTTTTAAGGCTTGAATCAAGGGAGATTCTGCCTACCAAAATGCAACTGGGAATAACTATTTGCAAATGAACTCTTTGTTTTACTGGGTCTCTTTTTTTTTTTTTTTTTTTTTTTTTGAGACGGAGCCTCGCACTGTCACGCGGGCTGGAGTGCAATGGTGTGATCTTGGCTCACTGCAACCTCCACCTCCCGGGTTCAACAGATTCTCCTGCCTCAGCCTCCTGCGTAGCTGGGATTATAGGTGCCCACCACCAGGCCCAGCTAATTTTTTGCATTTTTAGTAGAGATAGGGTTTCACTATGTTGGCCAGGCTGGTCTTGAACTCCTAACCTTGTGATCTGCCTGCCTTGGCCTCCCAAGGTGCTGGGATTACAGGCGTGAGCAATTGCACCCGGCCTTAACTGGGTCTTAAGATAAACGCAAACATTACCCATCTGTAGTTCTAGTGACTTATTTACATATTGGACAAAAATGGGTGTCAAAATCCAGCAGTTAAGCCAGCAAAAGAATCATTCATTGCAACTTTTCTGAGCTCTTTCTATGAGCTAGGCACTTAGTTATATGCTGGGGGAAAGGGCAGTATGTTAACAGACACAGTCCTTGCTCTAATGAGGATTCAAGGCTCATCTGCTAAAAAGGGAGGCTGATTCAGTCTGTTTTTAGAAACACAATTCTTGTGATCTCCCATTCCCATTGTTAAGAAACACTGCTTTCTAAGAGATGTGACCCAAATGGAAGTAGGCATATCACTCTGGCTCTAATAGAGATGGTGCCTTATGCATGTCAGTGAGAATACCTAGTCAATCTTTTAGTAGTTTAAAATGTCTTCTCCTGTCTCACACACTTAAAATGGCTCATATTTTGATAAGTGTATACTGTCTTTCTAAGTGCCACAAGCCTTTGTTTACTAATATGTGCAATATCCTAGTATAATTAAGTCTTAATCTATTAAGTCTAGTATAATTAAGTCTTAATCTATTCTTTAGCAATTAAATAGTAGGAAGTATTTATTATTAATAAAAGTTATATTTAACCAAAGACACATACAGACAATATAAAAGAAGTAAATCATTTATAAGCCCCAAATTCAGAGTTCCGTTTTTCATATTAGAGGATTCCTCAGTTAAACAAGATTCATAAACTGGTCTTATACATAAAAAACTAAAATTAAAACAAAAAGCTTCTCTTCCTTCACCCTGCCCCCACCCCGACACACACAAAATATCACAGCAGCACATTTTTCTTACCTTTTTAAATGCTTCAGGCATACACCTGTCCATAAACCTTCTACAATTCTCATCAGACTCGGAAAGACCTTAGTAAAATGCATGAAATAATATACTTTATTTAAGTCAGACTCAGAAAGACCTTAGTAAAATGAATGAAATAATACACGTTATTTAGGTCTTTGGTAGTTCGTAAAAATCATATACATCATTCTAAATCCATACATATGGAACTATGTCATAGGAACCTTAGTTCTTACGAAATTATTAAAAGTAGAATATATACCTTTGATGAAGGAAAGGCTGAGAAATAACCATAGCATTAGATTAAATAAATACCAATTGAACTGAAATGATTGAACTTACATTTCCATGTCAGAGTAACTTCAATGATCTGATTAAATAGCTAATAAAACACCAACAGCAGCTACTTACTAGCCATTATTATTTCCCTAAAAAGTTCTATAGAAACACAAATATTTTCTAATCCCAGAACTTTGGGAGGCCGAGGCAAGAGGATCACTTGAGCCCAAGAGTTTGAGACCAGCCTGGGCGACACAGTGAAACCCCGTCCCTACAAAAAATAAAAAGCTGGGTGTGGTGGTGCTTGCCTGTTGTCCCGGCTACTTGGGAGGCTGAGGTAGGAGGATCACTTAAGCCTGGGAGGTTGAGGCTGCAGTGAGACATGACTACGCCATTGCACTGCAGCCTAAGCAACCCTGTCTCAAAAATCAAAAACCAAAAAAAAAAAAACAACAAAAACAAAAACAAAAACCAAAAAACCACACAAATATTTGCAATAAATGCCTAAATTACTCTTCTTCCCTAAAACAAACCAATGAACTCCATTACACAGATTTGTGTCTGGCACAATTCACATAGTAAGTGATAAATACTTGCTAAGTTAATGAATAAGTTCCCTGTAAAATCATCTTTTGGAAAAAGTACATTTCTTTATTAAACTCAATAATAGGTTTTGCTTATCATTGGGAATACTGCTAAACACACTCTCTTTTTTTCAGACCCACTGCCTAGCATAGTACCTAGATCCTAACAGGTGCTCAATAAATGCTACTGCTGAGAAGCCAGTCAGAAATACACCATATTCTGGCCATATTCATTTCATAACTGAATTCAATATGAAAAAATAAGTTATTTTCTCTTTTTTTAGTACAGGTGTTCATACTGACACCCACTCTTCCAACCTATTGATATTTTATTATTTTAATAGCTTGATATTTATAAAGCTTAAAACAATGTCAGGTACTTAATAAGCACAAGTTTGTTAAATAAATATAACTTTCTTCTCTTAAAAAAAAAGCTGTTGAATTGATGAGCCTTAATTTAAAGTACTCCAAGCTTCTGTGGAAAAAGTTAATTTCAATTTCCATTAAGCTTTTCAATTATATTTTAAATAATCTTATACTCTATCAAAGGTAGAAGAAAACAATTAATTTGGTTCAAAGCTTTTCTTCTGCAGGAGATAAGTGAAGACTAAGAGAATAAATGATCTGTCCAATAACACACAGCTAGGCAACAACAAAGGCTAAGATTAAACTCAGGCCTTCTATGAAACAAATGTCCTCATGTGTTCTAAGGTCTGAAAACTTACCAAGTCTTGCTAGGTAGGTAGATGCCAACAGGCATTTGCCTAGTGATTCTTCTCGCTTGTAAGGGATGGACCAATGATCAGTCAAAACACGGCTTTCCAGTTCATATAAATTTGTTGTAGGGAATTCAATTCCTTCCCCTGAGCAGTTTCCATTCTCATCATTCTTCTGACGAAAAGGGATTAAGATAAAAAGCAAATAAAACTAATTAGTGATTACTCTAAAAATTTCCTATGTAACACAGAGCAGATACTGAATCAATGGTAGCTATTAATACCAATAGCATGGATTCTACCTTTCTTTCCTATAATCACATCTTTCACCAAGAATATCTCAAATATTCTCAACTTTTATCATTTTGGCATCTCTACTCGCTCGCTTAGAAGGTGACCTCATCTCTTTCGTTAAAAATGAACTGTCCAGGCCGGGCGCAGTGGCTCACACCTGTAATCCCAGCACTTTGGGAGGCCGAGACGGGTGGATCACGAGGTCAGGAGATCGAGACCATCGTGGCTAACACGGTGAAACCCCGTCTCTATTAAAAATACAAAAAAATTAGCCAGGTGTAGTGGCGGGCGCCTGTAGTCCCAGCTACTCGGGAGGCTGAGGCAGGAGAATGGCGTGAACCCGGGAGGCGGAGCTTGCAGTGAGCAGAGAGCTGAGATTGCACCACTGTACTCCAGCCTGGGCAACAGAGTGAGACTCCGTCTCAAAATAAATAAATAAATAAATAAATAAATAAATAAATAAATAAATAAATAAATAAAAAGAACTGTCTAGGCCGGACATGGTGGCTCATGCCTGTAACCCTAGCACTTTGGGAGGCTGAGGTGGGAGGATCACTTGAGCTCAGGAGTTCAAGACCAGCCTGAGCAACAGAGTGAGAGCCTGTCTCTCTACAAAACAAAACAAAACAAACAACAACAACAACAAAAAACTGCCCATTTCTCATGATAAAATATCAAATGCTTGCCTTCATCAACAACCCTCCTGTCTTCACATTTCTTTTCTCACTGAGGGGATAAATTCTTCAAAGAGGTATCTATATTTGCCATCTTCATCTCCACACCACTGACTCATTCCTGACAACACCCCAATCTGGATTCCAGAGTCCCTATTCTCCAAAATGGCTACTGTTAAGGTCATCACTGAACTTTATTTCACTAAATCCAATTAAGTCTCAGTCCTAACCTTACCTCTCAGGAGTATCGGACCTTCTGCCCACTCCCTCCTCTTGAAATGCTGGCTTCTTTTCCCTGCCTCCTAGAACAGCACACTCTCTGTTCTCCTCCCATGGGTCTGGCTGTTCTAGTCTGTCTCCTCTTCTGGTACATCTTCATCTTCCTAGTCATCAAATACTTCAGTTCCTCAAACCCCAGTGCTAAGCCGCCTTCTCTTTTTGTTCCTGTCGATTTCTCTGGTTGACCATATCCACACTCCAGATGTCAATTACCTCCTATCTGTAGATGACTCATACATTTCTATCTCCAGCTTAGACTTCTCCTCTGAGCTTCAGACCCACAAATGCAACTGCCTATTTGACATCTTCTCTAATTCAATGTTTGCCCCAAACCAAATTCATGATCCTTCCCCCGTAAATCCTGGTCCCCTTCTTGTGTTCTTCATCCCAGTGAATGGCACCAGATTCATCTAGTAGCATAGCCAGAAGCCAGGGGATCATTCTTAACATTTTGTTCTCCCATCCCCATTCCCAGGACCTGGTGATTGGACCTCATACATTTCTCTCCAATTCCATTCTTAACACTTGGTTCTCCCATCCCCATCCCCAGGACCTGGTGATTGGACCTCATACATTTCTCTCCAATTCCTCTACTTCTGTCCATCTCCACAGCTACCACCTAGCCCTGGTTTATGCCTAGATTACTTCACCAGCTCCCTAACTGGGCTCCATCTGCCTCATACACACATTTACTCTTCATACTGATCTTCATAAAGCACTAATCTGACGTTAACCTTAAAATCTTCATGGCTTTTCTCTGTTCTTAAGATAAGCCTAAATCATGTTTAAAATATTTTACAAGGCCTTGAATGGTCTATCCCCTAACTGTCTCTCTCTAGCTTTCTGCACTCCAGATCATTTCTCTGGGATTTAGCTTCTTGTCAGGCATAATGCTTCATGTATCGGACTATTTTCCCAAAAGGCCACAGCAGTATTTCTGGCCCCACATACTCTTCCAGAACCTTGTCTCTCTTCATAATAAAGTGGCATTTACTTCCCCTGGATCTGAACCAGGGTGGAACTGTGTGTGTGCATGCCTCGGTGAATAGAATACAGCAGAAAGAGACATGTCTAAGCCTAGGTCATGAAAGGCACTACAGCTTCCTCCTGGTTCTCTCTTGGGACACCCCCTCCTGCAACATGGACACCATGTCCTGAGGGAACCCAGGCTAAATGCAGAGGGCCCGTATGGTTGTTTTGTCCAATAGACTCACTAAGGTCTCATTGGACAACCAGCCCCTGAAGGCCAGAGGAGGAGCCTTCACATGAGTCCAGCCTACAGTCATCAAGTCATCCCCAGACTTAGTCTTCCAGCTGAGGTTCTCAGTATCATGGAGCAGAGATAAACTGCTGTCTGAATCCCATCCCCACAGAATCTACGGGCACAATCAATGGTTGCTTTACGCCACTATTCCTGAACTCATCTTTCTGTTCTCTTTAACCTACTTAACTCCTACACATCTTTAATTCTTTCAGGGAAGCCTTTCCAGAATTTCTAAAATAGACAAATTCCTTCAGTTATCATATACCCTTACCATCCTCAACCTCTCCTTCACAGCACTACTCACAGGTGTAATTTTACATTTATCTGTGATTTGTTTGCCCCTCACTAGACCAAGCTGCCTAAGGGCATGGACCTTATCTATTTTTGACCACCTCTGTATCTCTAGAAGCTGGCACCTAGCATAAAGTAGGTATTTAATAAATATTGTTAAATGGAAAAATAATCCATATAAAGCTTCAACTATTAATAGGGTAACTGCCAGACTTTCCTTCAGTTCTCACCATGCTAATTTGTAACAAAGCAAACAGGACCCCAAATTGCCTAATACGCACACTAGTTTGTATTTTTTTTTTTTGGAAACCTACATATCCTCACAATTTACTATATAATTTAATCATTACAAAATAAAATAATCCCATTTAAAAATCATGTTTAACCTCAATGAAGAAAAAGATCATAAATATAAAGCAGAAATCATAAAACACAGAAGAAAACTAACTTCAATGCCATATCAATGATATCTAAAGAAATCCAACACATTTCTCCCCCCACCCCAACAAAGTCTGTAACTAAATAAAACAAAAAACAGGAAGGTAATTAAGCATAGAAGACAATGTAAATTGGACAAGGGTAGAAGGAGGGGGTGATGAACTAAGTACGCTTAGAATCACAATGCATGGGAAAAATTCAGTTTTTAAAGCGTAACACTTTTCAGAAATACATTTAATTCATAAGTACTATAAGTAAGCCAATTTCACTTAAAGGAACCTGATAGGACTCAAATAGTAAAAAATTTAGCATAGTTTTAAATCTGCACACATGTGAAATGCTTAAATTTATTACCTTAGGATTAAAGTGGAATTAAGTCATATAAAAACAAAAAATTTCACTTGGCTGATTCCTAAGTGGGTATACGTCATTACTATGGAGTATCTATCATTAATTTCTATAGAGTTAATATATCAAATCATACATAAAATCATCAAATGTACTCAGTAGATGTAAAAACTAGAGCCTCTTTGGTGAAAGAAACAAAAGTCCCCTAGCATCATCAGTGTTAAGGACTGAATTGTGTCTACTCCCCCAAATCCAAGTCATCAATTGAAGCCCTAACTCTCAATGTGACTATATTTGGAGATAGTGCCTTTAAGGAGATAAACAAGGTTAAATGAGGTCATAAGGGTAGGGCCCTAATCCAATAAAACTTGTGTCTTAATGAGAAGGGGAAGGGACATCAGAGATCTCCCTGTTTGTCAGTGCACAGAGGAAAGGCCAGGTGAGGACACAGCAAGAAGGCAGCCCAGAAGAGAATCCTCACCAGAAACCAACTCTAATGACTTCTTTTTTATTTTTATTTTTTTTGAGACGGAGTCTCGCTCTGCTGCCAGGCTGGAGTGTAGTGGCACAATCTCAGCTCACAGCAACTTCCGCTTCCCGGGTTCAAGCGATTCTCCTGCCTCAGCCTCCCAAGTAGCTGGGACTATAGGCATGTGCCACCACGCCCGGCTAATTTTTGTATTTTTAGTAGAGACGGGGTTTCACCATGTTGGCCAGGATGGTCTCGATCTCTTGACCTCATCGTGATATGCCCACCTTGGCCTCCCAAAGTGCTGGGATTGCAGGCGTGAGCCATTGCGCCCGGCCTCTAATGACTTCTTGATCTTGGACTTCTAGCCCCAACTGTAAGAAAATAAGTTTCTGTAGTTTAAGCCACCCAGTCTGTGGTATTTTGTTATGGCAGCCTGTTGAGGCTGATTCTGAGGTGGGTGTAGTTCATTACCATGGGATATCCATCATTAATTTCTACAGAAATTAATAAATCAAACAACATATGAAATCGTCAAATGTACCTAGCAGATATTAAATCTAAGGGGGAGCAAGGGGGGAGATCTTATTATGTGCCTCCTGATATGGTGCACTGTAAACAGCACAATTCTCACTTCTTTGATATTCCCACCAAAAATGTATAACCTGAATCTAATAATGAGAAAACCCGAAATGAAAAACAGTCTTTTATTTTTTTTGAGACAGAGCCTCACTTTGTCACCCAGGCTGGAGTGCAGTGGCACCATCTTGGCTCACTGCAGCCTCCATCTCCTGGGTTCAAGCAATTCTCATGCCTCACCCTCCCGAGTAGCTGGGACTACAAGCGCATACCACCATGTCCAGCTCATTTTTGTATTTTTAGTAGAGAGAGACAGGGTTTCGCCATGTTGGTCAGGCTGGTCTTGAACTCCTGACCGCAAGTGATCTGCCCGCCTGGGCCTCCCAAAGTGCTGGGATTACAGGTGTGAGCCACCGTGCCTGGCCAAAAAACAGTCTAAAAATGGTCTAGCCTCTATTCCTAAAAAATGCCAGAGTCACCAAAGACAAGTACACTAGACAAATACGACAACCAAAAACAACATGGTATCCTGGACTGGATCTTGAAACAGAAATTATTATGTGTTTTATTTTACATTTTAGCTTCAAAGGATTTAGTACTGGATCAATGTTAATTTCCTGGTTTTGATAAATATACTAAGGTTAAGAGAATATCCTCATTTTTAGGAAGTATATAAGGGTAAAGGGGCATGGTGTCTGTAATTCATTCTCAAACAGTTCAGGAACAACAAAATACATACACATTTTATACACACATGCACATTATATATGTCTGTATATCTAAATACATACATAGAGAGAGAAATAAAGCAAATGTGATAAAATGTTAATATTTAAAGAACCTGAGTAAAGGTTACTTCTCTGTAAATGTAAGATATTAATTGTAATCCCCAGGACAACCATGAAGAAAATAAAAATGTATATTGAGAAAGAAACAAGGGAATTAAAATGATACACCAGAAAATATGTATTTAATATAAAACACAGGAGTAATGGACGATTAGAGGAACAAAAAGATGTAAGAGATAAGAAAACAAAGAGCAAAGCGGCAAATGTAAATCCTGTCTTACCAGTAATTACATTAAATGCAAATGGACAATAATTAAAAGGCAGAGGTTTGCAGAATGAATTTTTAAAATATATTATACAACCATATGCTGTCTACATCAAACACAATTTAGACAAAGATACAGAGACTGAAATAAAAGGATGTAAAAAGATATCATACACACATACAGGAGCTGGAATGGCTATATTAGACAGAACAGACGTTAAGGCAAGAAATGAAACTAAGACACTTCATAATAAAAAGGTCAATACAACAGGAAGATAAAATGATGAAAAAATATATACCCTAAAAGCAATAACCAAAGAGAGCAGGGGTGACTACAATAACATTGGGGGGGAAAAAAGGACACTGAAAAGCTGTTACTAGAGACAAGAAAGGCTGTTCTTTTTCCCCACTGTTTTGGGGGTTTTTTTGAGACAGGGTCTGGCTCTGTCACCCAGGCTGGAGTGCAGTGGCGTAATCTCAGCTCACTGCAACCTCTGTGTCCCAGGCTCAAATGATCCTTCCACCTCAGCCTCCCAAGTGGCTGAGATTACAGGCACACACCACCACGTCTGGCTAATTTTTGTATTTTTTATAGAGATGGGGTTTTGCCATGTTGCCGAGGCTGGTCTCAAACTCCTGAGCTCAAGCAATCCACCTGCCTCAGCCTCCCAAAGTGCTGGAATTATAGGCACGAGCCACCACACCCAGCCAGGAAAGGTTATTTTGTAATGATAAAAGGTTAATCCATCAGGAAGATATAACAATTATAAACACATAAGCATCTAACAACAGAGATCTAAAACACAGAAAGCAAAAATTAACAGAATTAAAGAGAGAAATACACCAACAATAATAGTTGGAGACTTCAATACCTCAGAATTAGGCAAAAGATCAACAAGAAAATAGAATACTCAAACAACACTATAAACCAAATAGACCTAAAACACATTTACAGAACTCTCCACCCAATTACAGTAAAATACAGATTCTCCTCAAGTGCGCATGAAATATTCTCCAAGATAGAGCATATGTTAGGTTGTAAAACAGGCCTCAACAATTTAAAAGAAGTGAAATCATACCAAATATGTTGTCTGACTGCAATGGAATTAAAAATCAACAGAAGGAAATATGGAAAATTCAAAAATATGTGAAAATTAAACAACACATTCCTTAATCACCAATGGCACAAACAAGAAATCACAAGATAGGTAAGAACGCGCTTTGAGACGAATGAAAATTAAAATATAATATAAAACTTTTGGGTACAGCAAAAGCAGTGATTAAAGGGAAATTTGTTTGTTTTGGGATTTTTATTTTTATTTTTTTTTTGACATGGGGTCTTGTTCTGCTGCCTAGGCTTGAATGCAGTGGCACAATCACAGCCCACTGCAGCCTTGACCTCCAGGGCTCAAGGGATCCTCCCACTTCCCAGCTCCCCAGCAGCTGGGACTACTGCTGCATACCACCATGCCTGACTATGTTTTGTTTTAGAAATAGGGTTTTGTTTTGTTGCTCAGGCTGATCTCGAACTCCTAGGTTCAAGCGATTCTCCCATGTCAGCCTCCTAAAGTGCTGGGATTACAGGTGTGAGCCAACATATCTGGTCACAAGAGGGAAATTTTTTACTGGTAATGCCTATATTACAAAGGAAGAAAGATTTCAAATCAACAACATAACCTCCCACTTTCAGAAACATGAAAAGCAAGAATAAACTAAACCCAAAGCAAGCAGAAGGAAACAGAAAAGATCAGAGTAGAAATAAATAAATTTAAAAATATATAATAAATAAAACCAAAAGTTGGTTCTTTGAAAAAATTTAAAAAAAAGGGACAAACCTTCAACTAGACTGACAAAGAGAAAAAGAAAGAGGATTCAAATTTAATAATAAGAATGAAAGAAAAAACATCACTACTTTTTATTTTATTTATTTTTGAGACAGAGTCTTGCTCTGTCATCCAGGCTGGAGTGCAAAGGCACAATCATGGCTGACTGCAGCCTTGACCTTCTAGGCTCAAGCAAACCTCCCATTTCAGCCTCCTGAGTAGCTGGGACCACAGAAGCACACCACCATACCTGGTTCATCTTTCTGATTTTTTTTTTTTTGTAGAGACAGGGACTCACTATGTTGTCCAGCCTGTTCTCACACTCTTGGGCTCAAGTGAACCTCCCAGCTCAGGCTTCCAAAGTTCTGGGATCACAGGTGTGAGCCACCTCGCCAGGCCAAGAAAACATTACCACTGACCTTACAGAAATAAATATGGTAAGATATACTACTAACAAATGTATGCTAACAAATTAGATAACCCAGGTAAAATGAACATTTCCTAGAAAAGCATAAACCACCAAAACTGACTCAAGAAGAAACAGAAAATCTGAAGACCTGTACCAAGTAAAAAGAATGACTTGTAATCAAGAACTTCCCACAAAGGAAAGCCCAGGACCAGATGGCATCACCAGTGAATTATACAAAACGTTTAAAGAACTAACATCAATCCTTCAGTCTTCCAAAAAATAGAAAAGCAAGGAACATTTCCCAACTTATTTTATGAGGCAAGTATTACCCTGATATTAAAAATGGACAAGGAAATTTCACATCTATTAGTATGGTTATTATAAAAAATATAGAAAAAAATGTTGG
Organism: Homo sapiens; assembly: GCF_000001405.40. NCBI lineage: Eukaryota > Metazoa > Chordata > Mammalia > Primates > Hominidae > Homo > Homo sapiens. Next base: position 55,186,285 of record NC_000001.11, read on the forward strand.
TAAGGATGTGGGGAAACTGGAACTTTTGTACACTGCTGATAAGAGTATAAAACTGTGCACCTACAATGAATAACACTATGGAGGTTTCTCAAAAACTTAAATGGAACTACCATGTGATTGAGCAACTCTACTGGATACACACATACCAAAAAACTGAAAGAAGAGGCTTGAGCAGATATTTGTACACCCATGTTCATAACCGAATTATTCACAATAGCCAAAAGGTGGAAGCAACCCAAGTGTCCATCAACAAATGAATAAACAAAATATGATATAAACATACCATGGATTATCCAAACTTTAAGAAAATGTGTTTATGATACATGTTACAACATGGAAGATCTTGAAGATATTATGCCAAGTGAAATAAGCCAATCACAGAAAAACAAATATTATATGATTCCACTTATATGAAAGTACTTAGAGTAGTCAAATTCACAGATGAAGAAAGCAGAATGTTGGTTGCCAAGGGCTGGGTGCAGGGGGGAATAGGGAGTTAGTATGTAATGGGTACAGAGTTTCAGCTGGGGAAGATGAAGTAGTTCTGAAGATGGATGGGACTGATGGATGCAGAACAATTAAATGTACTTAATGCCACAGAACTGTACACTTAAAAATGAATAAAATGGTAAATTTTATGTTATGTATATATTATCACACTTTAAAATAATATACAAAGATACACACACCAAACCAATATCCCTAGGAATAGTGACACAAAAATCCTTAACAATAAACCAGTAAACCAAATCCACACATATATTAAAAAGATCCTAAACCATGACCAAGTGGCACTTATCTCAGGAATCAAGGTAGGTTTAGTATACAAAAAAACAAACAAACAAAAAACCAATCAATATAATAACACCATAGTAACAGAATAAAGGACATAAAAAATCACGAGATCATCTCAAGTGAAGCAGGAAAAAACTTCACAAAATGTAACACCATTCCATGATTTTAAAACAACGACAAAACACTCAACAAACTAGAAATAAAGGGGAACTTCCTCAACTTGATTAAAGGCATCTACAAAAACACCTACAGTGAACATCATATTTAACTGTGAAATACTGAATGCTTTTCTCTAGATCAGGAATGAGACAAAGATGTCTGCTCTCACAGCTTCCATTCAACACTGCACTGGAGTGTCTAGTCAAGGCAATTAGGCAAAGAAAAAATAAAAGGCATTCAGATTAAAGAGGATGAAATAAAACTACTTCTATTCACTGATGCCATAATTTTGCACAGAGAAAATCCTAAGGAATTCACCAAAATAAATACCAGAATAAATGAGTTCAGCAAGGCTGCAGAATACAGTATCAATATACTGTATTTCTATACACTAACAACTGTATTTCTATACACTAACAATGGGTAATCCTAAAATAAAGAGAATAATTTCATTTACAATAACATTAAAAAGAATAAAATACTTAGGAAGTGCAAGACTTGTACACTGAAAACTACAAAGCATCATTGAAGGAAATTATAAGAACTAAATAAACAAAAAGACATCCTATGTTCATAGATTGGAACTTAAAACTGTTAAGATAACAATATTCCCCAAATTGGTCTACAAATTGAACACAATCCGCATCAAAATTCCAGCTAGTTTCTTTGCAAAAAACGACAATCTAACTTTAAAATTTACAAGGAACCCTGAATAGTCAAAACAACAAAGTTCAAGAATTCACATTTCCCATTTTCAAAACTTACTACAGCGCTATAGTAATCAAGACAATCTGGTACTGGCATAATGAATCAATGGAATATAATGGAGATTTCATAAATAATACCTGGTATTTATGGTCAATTAATTTTTCAGCAAGAGTCACGAGACAACTTAATCTTTCACAAAGACAAAAAAGTAATCCAATGGAGGAAGGACAGTCTTTTCAACAAATGGTGCTGAGACAACTGAATATACACAAGCAAAAGAATGAAATGACCCCACCTCAAGCCACATACAAAAACTAACTCAATGTAACGCAAGACTAAATATTCATGACCTTGGATTAGGTAATTATTTCTTGGAAAAGCAAAAGCAACAAAGAAAAAATAAACTTCATCAAAAATAAAAATTTTTGTGCATCAAAAGTCACCATTAAGAAAGTGAAAAAAAGAATCTACAGAATGAGAAACAGTATTTGCAAATCATAGATCTGATAAAAGATTTGCATATAGAATACAAAAAAAAAACCTTACAACTCAATAAAAAGACAAATAACCTAATAAAAAATGGGCAAAAGATTTGAATAAATGTTTCTCCAAAAAAGATACAAGCGGTTCACAAAAAGATGCTAAGCATCTTCAGGAAAATGCAAATCAAAACCACAAAATACCACTTCACACCTACTAGGATGGCCAAAATTTAAAAAGACAGGAAAGAAGCCGGGCATGGTGGGTCACACCTGTAATCCCAGCACTTTGGGAGGCTGAGGCAGGTGGATTGCCTGAGATCAGGAGTTCGAGACCAGCCTGTCCAACATAGTGAAACCCCGTCTCTACTAAAAATATAAAAAATTAGCTGGGTGTGGTGGTGGGCACCTGTAATCCCAGCTACTAGGGAGGCTGAGGTAGGAGGATTGCTTGAACCTGGGAGGCGGAGGTTGTGGTGAGCAGAGATCGCGCCACCCATTGCACTCCAGCCTGGACAACAAGAGCAAAACTCCATCTCAAAAAAAAAAAAAAAAAAAAAAAAAAAAAAAGACAGGAAATAACAAGTATTGGTGAGAATGTGAAGCAATTGGAAACTTCACACACTGCTGATTGATTATAAAATGGGGCCACCGCTTTCCAAGACAGTTTGGCAGTTCCTCAAAGGTTACTAAGTTTCCACTTGACATAACAATTCCATTCATACAAATATTCATAAGAGAAATGGAAACATATGTCCACATAAAACACGTATACATGAGTGTTCGTGGCAGCATTGTTGCTAACAACCAAAAGGTTTGGAAATTATCCAAATGTCCATTAGAAAGAATGAATGAACAATCCATTTTATGTCCATGTGTTATATCCATACAATGAAGTATTTTTTAGCTCTAAAAATGATCAAAATACTGACAAGTTACAGTATTTTGAATGAACATAGTGAGTTGAATGAATTTCCACAAAAATAAGTTCTGAAGTTCAGTTCTCAATGAACTCCAAAAATATACTAAGTGAAAGAAGCCAGACATAAAAGGCCGCATATTGTATCATTCTGTTTATATGAAATGTTCACAATAGGCAAATCCATAGACACAGAAAGTAGACTGGTGGTTGCCACAGGATGGCAGGAGATAGAAAAAGACAGCATGAGGTTTCTTTTGGAGGTGATGAAAATATTCTCAAAATAAATGGTGGTGATGGTTGCACAATTCTGAATGCACACTTTAAAACGGTGAACTTTATAGTATAAGAATTCTTTCTCAATAAAGCTGTTATTTAAAAGACTTGATTAACAAAAATGAGTTCAATGATTATAGTCACTAAAGAAAGTGGGTATATATCTAAGAACTGCAAAACACAGAGTTGTACCTAATCTGTAATAAAAATCTAACACATATGGCAATTAGCTTTAAAACAGCAATTAAAAAATATTATTATATAAGGCCAGGCACGGTGACTCATGCCTGTAATCCCAGCACTTTGGGAGGCTGAGGGAGGATCACTTGAGGTCAGGAGTTTGAGACCAGCCTGACCAACATGGTGAAACCCCATCTCTACTAAAAATACAAAAATTAGCTGGGGATGGTGGAAGGCACCTGTAATCCCAGCTACTTGGGAAGCTGAGGCAGGAGAATTGCTTGGACCCAGGAGGCGGAGGTTGCGGTGAGCCAAGATTGCACCACTGCACTCTAGCCTGGGTGACAGACCAAGACTCCATCTCAAAAAAAAAAAAAAAAAAAAAGAAAGAAAGAAAATATTATTTAAGACTTGACAGGCGAAATATACCATGTTGCCTCCTAGGCAGTTAACATTCTTGGTCTTAAAACTGGAAGCAACAGCGCGTTATACACAGGGTTAAGGAATGATACAAAGCAGCACTACATTTTCAGGAGTGTGCTGCAAACACAAAGAGATAAGCAACCACAGAGGGGGATAGTATGAACCCATATTTTGGTTGGTTTGATATTTTGAGTTATCACTTTTAAGTAGAGCCTGTCCTTGGCAAAAATTACATACTGACCAAGAGAACACATACAAAGCAGCTCAGTATCGTTCTATTGCAAAATGTCATAGCTCCGAACAGACATAATGTATTGAGCTTTTAATAAGATCTTTGCAATTTAACTTACTATTTTCTCATTAGATGCCAAATCCAAATGATACAAAAGTAACCATTAATGGTCACTGATTATAAATTAATTAAAAACATATTTATTGAGAGTGCTATGCTCCAGACAAAATGCTCAGTGCTGAGGACAAAGATAACGGACACAATTCTTGTCTTTAAAGAAAAGGATAATGTGAAAGTAGAGAAAAGGCTGGTGGATGCCAAACCAGCCTGTGGGTGTCCAGGTATATGTGCAGTGAGAACAAACCTGTACACAGTTGAAGAAGTTTAAAGGAAATCGTGCTCCAGAGAGAAGATTACAGATCAAATTATTTCAAAACCAGTATTTTTCAAGTATATTAATAAAACTTCAACATTTTTAGCCATTTGACTACTTGAGTCAATATCTTTGCTGCTTTTTATGATACTCCATCAACTTCATTTAAAATTGAAAAATAATTTTTATAAAATATTTTACAATATTCATGTAAATCCAGCAGTTGTTAGGAGATGCACAGCTCTGGCACGAAGGTAGAAGAGAAATGAGCTTGCCAACAATTATTGAATGTCACTTTTAACCTGAAAAATTTTTAATAACATTAAATCTTGTGTATTCAGTTGTTCAAGAAAAATAATACAGATGAACTAATGTGTTCAATTATGATTTCTAATTGGTCAGTTTACGATTAAAGTAAGAACAAGTAACATTGTTGGATACATACTCATCTCTTCAGTATTTTAGGCTACTTCCTAAATATGTAATTTTTTTATGCCCACAAATACAAATGAAAATATAAACAAGTCTCTGTAACTGCCATAATGCTTTATAGTGCCATAAATATGCTAGGAATTCAAATAGTTATGATTATGACTTCATCTGTTTGCCAACTGTTTGGACTAAGGCTTAGTATTTACTTACTTATAAGATCAATATGGCACTTTCTTTTTTTTTTTTTTGAGATGGAGTCTCGCTCTGTCACCCACACTGGAGTGCAGTGGCACGGTCTTGACTCACTGCAACCTCTGCCTCCCAGGTTCAAGCGATTCTCCTGTCTCAGCCTCCTGAGTAGCTGGGATTACAGGCGCCTGCCACCACGTCCGGCTAATTTTTTGTATTTTTAGTAGAGACGGTGTTTCACCATGTTGGCCAGGCTGGTCTCAAACTCCTGACCTCGTGATCTGCCCGCCTCTGGCTCCCAAAGCGCTAGGATTACAGGCATGAGCCACCCTGCCTGGCCTGGCACTTTTAATTGTTGCAACTGAAGTTTTTCATGGAATTGATACACAGTCACTGTACAATATTAATCTACCCCCACACAGTTTAGCAAAGATCTTTAAGTTTAAAATATAGATTATTTTGACAAAAATACCTTTCTGCATCCTACCTTTCATATTGCAAATTTTAGTTAGACATGTTTGTACATACGTTGCTATCCATATCCAGAAACTTGCCCGTTTGAAAAACGCAAATGAACCAACATAAGCACAGGTGATATCCTAACTGGGAGTTAAGTACACATGCACACAAAATCTACCTAATCCTTGCAAATGAGCTTTAAAAAATCAACATGCAAGCTTTTAAGTTAATAAGAGAGTTTAATATTTATTTAGAAAAAGTACCCTTATTTTTTTAAAGAGACAATAAACTGATTACTCTTGAACCCAACAAGGATACATTACTGTAATTTAAGCCTTCTTTGTTGAAAGAAGTAAAACCTACTGGGGAGGTACCTACCACCTGCTAGTTTAGAGATAAGCTCCTGTCTGCCCACTGACTCAACAAATACAGATAAAAGAAAATTATTCAACTTAACGGATAAGAGACTACCAGTGTTGCTTAAAGTTTATTTGAATACTAAATTCAATTACTGAACTATGCTATTAACCAACATGTGCTCAAAAGAACCTCTGATCAATATATAGAAAAATGAAGATGACAGACTGATCTCTTCACGATGATTTTAAACAGATTTGTCTATTACTTGTGTATTATAATAAACAATTAGAAACATATATGTGAAGAGCTTAAGGAAAAACATGCAAACATGGGCATTCGATTGCAAGTCACTAATTTATAATACCTTTCATTAAATATTGAGGTTGTCAGTTTTACTAAATATTTTTCAAAGCAATTTGGAGATGGTTATATGCAGATCTGATATTCCCTGTTAATTCAGACTAGAGAAAATAATTCCTAAAATATTGCTTCCTGGAAAAAGAGAAGATGATAAACAAGTAAGTGTATGCAGTCCCCATGTATGAATACATTGTGTCTGAAGTCTGCAAATGTTTTCCTGGAATGCATCTTCATTCCATGTTATGAGTAGTAAATAACTTCCTAAACTATTCAACAAAAGCTGACTTTTGTATGTGGTTCCCTGCATTAACCCTTCTTGGTTATTCAGGTAAAGTCAGTCCTCCACACCCATGGGTTCAACCAATTGTGAACTGAAAATATTTGGGAAAAAATGGATGGTTGCATTTGTATTGAACGGATCTAGACATTTTTTTCTTGTCATTAGTCCTTAAATACATAGAAAGCAATGTATTTACATTTTGTAATTTACATTACAAATAATGTATTTATATACAGTATAACAACTACTTGCATAGCATTTATATTGTATTAGGTATTATAAGTAATCTAGAGATGATTTAAAGTACACAGGAGGATGTGCTTAGGATACATGCAAATACTAAGCCATTTTATATAAGGGATTTGAGCATTTCGGTATCTGTGGGGAGGGCAGGTGGATACAGATTTTGGTATCCCCAAGGGGGTCCTGAAACCAACTCCCCACAGAAACCAAGGGACAACTGTATTTAGAATACAGAGAAGCAAGGTTTTCATGAGAAGAGGTTGTCCTATAATCCAAAGGTGATATCTTACATATAGAGGGTAACCTTCATTTAATATTTAAGGTTTGGGACATACAGATCATCGATTCCAGGATCCAAAAAGTAGGTAGCTGTTCCAGTCCCAATTTCCTTAGGGCATCTCCAGTGACTGCAGTTATGCTGGGCCCTCAGTTTTAGCAGCCAGCAGGAAGGAGGAGAGATATGGTAAAGGGGATTGAGATAAATTCAGATGAGAGCAATATGAGTGAGCAGTAAAGGAGAACTAATACGTCTACTGAGCACCTAGCTGCTACATGTCAGGAACAGCACTAGTAACTATGGAAAAGTGTACATATATTATAATTTAATTATTCTCAAACCTCAGGAGGTAAGAGTTATCATCCTCATTTTTTACATGAGCAAACAAACTGAGGCTCACATAAGGCAAAGTTACTCACCAGAAGTCACATTTCTTATGGTCACTTGCCTAACACCAACAGTCATTAAATGCGTTCAGACTGAAATAAAAATTTAAGTCAAGGTTTCTCCAAATCTCAGGCTCTAGATTAAGCATACTTGAAAGTATTCCAATTCCTCCTAAAATTGGTAGCATAGCATGGCCTCAAAAAACACCAATGCAGAATGGAGGCAAAAATGCTTTTACAAAAAACAGAACTTATATAATGCACCCCAAGCCAAGAATTGGGGAGGTAAGAGAGGACTATCAAGTAAAACTTATTTTCTTCCAAAGCACTAGTATTTTTTAATCCATTAAAACTTAAAGCTCTAGATAAACAGCTATCTAGCAGAAGCAATCAACTTTCATCCTTAATTTTGTTGAAATTTCCTTTACTAAGTATTACCATCTAACAGATCTAATTGTTGATTCTTTCACTACCACTTGCTAGCTGTGTTACCTTGAATAAACTTCTTAATCTATTTGCCTTTGTTTTCCTCAATGAGAAAGAGAGCATGGTGCCCGATTTGCAGGATTCCTACACAGATGAGGGATAATTCATCACAGGGCCAGCTACAACACACAGCAACATAAGAAATAGAAGCCCAGGCTGAGAGCAGTGAGCTCACACCTGTAATCCCAGCAGTTTGGGAGGTTGAGGTGGGTGATCACTTGAGCTCAGAGGGCTGAGGCTGCAGTGAGCCGTGTTCATGCCACTGTACTCCAGGCTGGGCGACAGAGGGAGACCCTGTCTCAAAAAAAAAAGAAAAAAGAAATAGTAGCCTAGTCCACTCCTTAGGCTTCAGATGAATCTTTCTTTGTCCCTCTCTCTCTCTCTCTCTATGCTAGACTCTAACCTTGGTGCCCTCAATGTACTCCAGATTTACCATATCCACAAAGAACTCGGTTTCTGACTCAAATCTGTTACTTCTCTAACATTCCTAACCCCGGAACTGTGTCCTCGTCCCAGCCAGTTGGTCACATCACAGTAATTCTACCTTATAAATTTCTTCTGAATAGTCTGTCCTAGCCAAGCCTGCTTACTTGAGGTCTCTGTCCTGTGTTGCTCGGACTGCTGCAATACTCATATAACTGCCATTCCTTCTACCAGTCCATATCACCACTCCCGTGCCCCCTCCAAAGGGCCACCAGAATGATCTTCCTTAAAACAAAACAAAACAAAACAAAACGAAAACCCTAACCCCAACCCAAACCAAAAAAAGGAAGCTCATCCCATCACTCACTTCCTCAGAAAGCTCCATTTGCTCCCAGCTGCCTAAAGGTGCCTAGAAAGTAAAAGCAAGCTTCTTGCATTGGCAGGCAAGGCTCTCCATCCTCTGATCACAATCCATCACAATATATGGTTTGCCACTTTCCAAACCTTCTGCTGGAGCTACATACAAGGTCCTATCATGAAACCATGTATAGCTGTAGGCTGCTCTCTCTGCCTAGGTGGCCCTTTCTCAGCCTGATAAATTCCTACTTCTTCAAAACCACTTCAAGTATCATCTCTTCAACAAAATTTTCGAGCGTTGAGATTCCTCCAAGCAAAGGAAGGTATTCTGTCTTCTATTTTTACACAGAATTCTCATTCAGTATTTTCCAGAGGCTATGAATACATCTATGAATAAGACAGACATACTCTGCCACTGAATCTTGGAAATCTCCTGTCTTTCAGGGAAAAAGACAAATAAGAAATTACAATTTCTTGTTAGGAGTGTTACTGTAAGAGTATTACGAAAGTACATAAGGAGGCCCATTCAGCCTTTAAAAAGAAGGCAATCTTGCGACATACTATAACATGAACAAGCCTTGAGGACATCATGCTTAGTGAAATAAGGCAGTCACAGAAAGACAAATATTGTATAGTTCCACTTATATGAGGTATCTGAAGTATTGAAGCTCAGAAACAGAAAGTAAAGTGGTGGGTGCCAGGAGCTAGGGGGTAGGGGAAAGGAAAGGTTGTTGTTTAACAGGTACAGAGTTTCAGATTTGCAAGATGAAAAATTTCTGGAGATGTTTCACAACAATTTGAATATACTTAACACTACTGAACTGTACACTTAAAAAAGATTAAGTTGATAAATTTTATGTTATGTGATTTTTACCAGAGTTAAGAAAAAAGGGGGGACCCAGCCTCATCATAGTGAAAGGTAGCCTACCAAATGAAATAATACTTAAGCTGAGACCTAAGTAAATGTCTACCTTCTTCACCACAGCCTCATATACACATTTAATTCTCAGTTCTCATCTTACCGGACCCATCAGCAATATTTAACAGTGGATCCCTCTTCCTGGAAACACCTCTTTCACTTGGTTTCCAGGACACAGTTCTCATTTGGTTCCTCACCCCACCAGCCACTCCTCAGTCTCCTTTGCTGGTTCTGCCTTACCACCCCAAGTCTCTAAACACTGGAGCACCTTCGAGCTCAGTCCTCAGACTGAGGCTCCCCCTTGGTGACCTCAGTGAGTTGAATCTAATGCATTGTTTTCTACCTAATTTTCATTATCATTCTTCCAAGGAGACTTTTAGACATCTTTTTCTTAACCATCCTATCCCCCACGAAATTAAATACTAAGAATTGACTGTGTTGGGTAGGGTTGGGTTTTGGTGTGATCCACTGTAATATCTAAGATTGTTTTTCATCTCCCTCAAGAACCAATTTCCGCCCCCCCAATAGAGTTATATTACCCCTGTTAAGAACAGTTTAATGGTTTAAGTGCTATCTCTAAGTTGAAGAGTCACATTTTGGCTCCAGTACAGACTTCTTCTCTGGACACCAGGCACATATCCAACTTCCTTTTTGACAACTCCACTAGGGTGTTTAATAGGCATCTAAAATTAACATGTTCAAAAACAAACCCCTGATCTTTCTCACCAGATCATGGTATCTCCCTGTTGAAAACCTTCGATGCCTTTGTTCCTATTCTGACAAAAAGTTATCGTGACAGTTGCCTGCAAGGCCCTAATGGGGAGCTGACCTCTGCCCGTTGAGTTCCAGCCATACTGGCCTCCCTGCTGCTCCTCCAACATGCCAGCCCTGCTGCTACCCGGTGTTTTTGCATTAGGTGTTCCTTCCACTTAAAGCAGGAGTTGGCAAAGTAGAGCCCACTGCCTGTTTCTGTATTTTATTGAAACAAAGACCTGCTTATTTCCTTACATATAGCATATAGTTGCTTTCATACTATAATAGCTAAGTTGAATAGCTACAACAGAGACTAAGTATTTACTTTAGGCCTGTTACAGAAAACTTTTGCCCACCCCTAGTTTAGAATGCCGTTCCCTCAGATAACCACAGTTGGCTTCACCTTCTTCAGGTCTTTGCTCAAATATGACCTGCTCTGTGAGGCCTTCCTTGAATAATCTACTCAAAAAGCAGCCCTTATCATACCCCCTACCCACTGCTGTCCAGCATGATCTCTCTCCTGTGCTGCTTTTTTTCCACAGTACTTATCATCATCTGACATTCTACATTTCACTTATCTTATTTGTTGTCTGTCTCCCCTCATTAGGATATAAGCTCCAACAGGGCAGAATTGTTTTGTTTGTTCCATTATCTGTAACAGTCCCTAAGACAGAGTGGGTGCTCAACAAATTCTTGGTGAATGAATGAGTGAATGTTAAGACCTAATACATGCTTATGAAATGAAAGAAAGGAAACAGATCCTGAGCACAGAGAATTGTATGTGTGTTCAGGCACAAAAGAGAAAGCATGGCACATTTAAAGCACTACCTTCATAACATCAAATACTGAGCTGTAGTAAACTTCACCTGTTTAAAGTTTGGCTCCCTAATAAGAGTGTGTTACTCAATGGAGCTCTATCTAATTCTCTATTGTATCTCCAATGTCTATTCGATACCTAAATCACTTGTACAACATCCCCAACAATATCCCAGAACCTCTGCCTAAATATAGTGACCAGGTGCTTAGGACATTTTGAGATTACCTGTTCCTGTTTTGCCTGTTCAACTGAAATCTATCTCCACATAACTTTGACTAATACCTTACCTGACCACAATTAGATGGGATGTTATTTTCTGGGAACTTTTATTTTCTCACTTGTGAAAAGCAAATGCTATTTGCTTTGTTCATTATAACTACGAAGGGTTTCTGTGAGTACCAAATAAGATAATGTATGAGAAAGTGTTGTTTCTTAACTCAAACCTCATATAATGAAAAGTGAAGAACAATTATGGTTATCTAAACTGCTCTTAAAAAAGTCATTCTGCACAAATTTTTACTACAGGAATAAAACCCCACTGAAAGCACATTTATATTTCTTTTTTAAAAAAATATTAAAAATAATTTTTTTTTTTAAAGACAGGATCTCACTATGTTGCCCAGGCTGGTCTCAAATACCTCACTTCAAGCAATCCTCCTACCTTGGCCTTCCAACGTGCTGGGATTACAGGCGTGTGCCACCATCCCCAGCCTATATTTCTCATTTTAGAAAGATACTCCATGTTCTCTCAAGCAGTATGTTCTAATCTGTCTTAATGGAAATGGAGGATGAAGTCGGAGAGAATGAAAGGGAAAGAGAACAAGGCATTTCCGTTTTTGTGTGTAGAAAGAACACAGAATTGAAAGTCAAGTAACATGGTTTTAAGTCCCACCATGAGCTGTGTGATTTTAGACAGGGTTTCTTAACCTTGTTTCTACTGACAATTTGGGCTAGACAATTCTGTTCTGTGCACTGTAAGATGTTTATCAGCATCCCTGGCCAGTAGCACCTCTCTAGTTGTGACAACACTAAAACATCTCCATACATGTGTAATGCCTCCGGGGTGGGATGACAAATCACCCCTGGTTGGTTAAGACTTGATATCTCCATACCTCAGTTTCATCTATAAAATGAAAATATTTACCTACAGATCCAAGATCTCTTCTGGCTCTAAAAATGCTAAAATTCTACTACAGGTCAAAATATAGGTTGTTGACAAATGCAGTCTTACTAATGGGGAACAAATTATGTAATGAAAGAAGGCAAGTATTTTCGTTTGGTTTTCCTTAATAAATAATAAAATATCCTTGGGTATTTAAAATGATTCAATCATAAAATCTTTTAAACATAAGAGATCTGAATTAGACATTTCACAAGTGTCAGTATAAAAAGATGAAAATACCATTCTAGAATCTGGCTTAAAAGAACATGATAACCAGGACAGGCATGGTGGCTCACACCTGTAATCCTGGCACTTTGAGAGGCCGAAGCGGGCAGATCACTTGAGGCCAGGAGTTTGGGACCAGCTTGGCCAACAGGCAAAATCCTGTCTCTATTAAAAATACAAAAATTAGTCAGGCATGGTGGCGGGCACCTGTAATCCCAGCTACTTGGGAGGCTCAGGCACGAGAATCACTTGAACCCGGGAGGTGGAGGTTGCAGTGAGCCAAGATTGCACCACTGCACTTTAGCTTGGGCGACAGAGCGAGACTCTGTTTCCAAAAAACAAAAAAACAAAACAAAAAAAAAACATGATTAACAGATGCAATGCATACTTTTTGATTCAATCCTAGATTACAATTTTTATAAAAGTCTATAGAGGATATTGCAGTATAAGTGGAGAATTTGAATATGAACTAAATAATAGACAATATTAACGTATTAATGTTAAATTCCTTTGGTAGGATAATGGTACTGCAGTTCTGTAGAATGTCTTTGTCCTTAGGAGATTCACATTAAAGTATTTAGGAGTCAGATGTCTTGACATTTGCAACTTATTTTTCAAATGGTTCAGAAAAAGTGTGTGTGTGTGTGTGTGTGTGTGTGTGTGTGTGAGAGAGAGAGAGACAGACAGAGAGAGAAGCTAAAGCAAATGTGACAAAATGTTTGCAAATAATGAATCAAGGTGAAGGGTATACAAGTGTTCACTGTATTGTTCTTTTGATTTCTGTAGACTATAAATTGTTCAACATAAAAACTTGGAAAAAATATATCTAGTATTGTATTAGTCCATTTTCATGCCACTGATAGAGACATACCCGAGACTGGACAATTTGCAAAAGAAGGAGGTTTAATTGGACTTACAGTTCCACGTGGCTGGGGAAGCCTTACAATCATGGCAGAAGGCAAGGAGGAGCAAGTCACGTCTTACATGGACGGCAGCAGGCAAAGAGAGAATGAGGAAGATGCAAAAGCGGAAACTCCTGATAAAACCATCAGATCTTGTGAGACTTATTCACCACCACGAGAACAATATGGGGATAACTGCCCCCATGATTCAATTATCTCCCACTGGGTCCCTCGCACAACACGTGGACGTGGGAATTATGGGAGTATAATTCAAGATGAGATGTGGGTGGGGACACAGAGGTTTCCAAACTTTATCAAGTATCAAATCAAATTATACCCAGTTTAAATTTGTAGCAGACCATTTTCTAATATTTTACTAAGTACTTTTCCACAACATTCCCTACTCTGTCAGAAGTTCCTAGAATAGTTGGAGGTCCTTATGGGAATAAGCTATATTGAAAAAGCAATCCAAGTGACTCTGATCTGATGTTGGCCATCCCTAGCAGCTCTTTAGAACCACTGGAATAGCTTATGGAACCCCTTAAAAGCAGGGGCTGTATCTCAGTTCTCAGAAGCCAGAAGAGAGCCAAAGACATTCAATAGATTGCTTAGTGTTGAACAAATAGTTACCATACTACTGTTTCTTTCCTCCTCCTACTCCCACTCCACATACTTTTTTTTTATTTTGGGAGGAGAAAGGAGAAAAAATAAAGTGTCTCAATAGCTTTACTTCAAAATAAGCTCACTTGGATTAACAGTGTCATCATTAATCATTATTATAGAAATAAATAAATGTGACAATCTGAAACAAAAACAACACTAAAAGTCAGTTTTCTGCTTTAATTATACTGTGACATGTTTTCTCTTTTCTCTCTTTCCTCTCCAGAAATGACATCCTCTGCAAATCTTCTCCTTACTAACGTAGAGCTCACCTAAGTGATGTAACAAAACTACATAAAAACAGACTGGCAAACAGTCCTACTAAAGGCTTAAAAAGGGTTTGTTTCTTTTAGCATCCACTATGTTCTTTCTTGTGTGCAATATTTTTCTATGTGAGCTAAAGAAAAAACATAAAGCAAAGGAAGTGGTGCAGAATACCAAAGTTCAAATTTAATGTGTTACATCCAAAATTGTATACATTATAAAGACACCGGCAATAGCTCAAAAAATGTTCCTTCCCACCAACTGTAATACAAGGTAAACACTGTGACAGAAATCTGCCAAAAGACTACAAAAAAATTTATGCTATTTTCAAGCTATGGTGTAGGGTATTTTAGGCAAAAGTAGATTTAAGAGACTATTTGAGAAGCATGAATGGGGGAAATGTGTTCCAAAATGGTGATGCAAATAAATATATTCCATATCAGATTCTTTGATTCAGTTTAGTATCTCCTGTGTCAAGTGTTTCCTGGAACTTTCCAGGAAATACAGAAAACCAGACCCTGCTTTCAAAAGACTCAATTTAGGCTGGGCGCAGTGGCTCATGCCTGTAATCGCACTTTGGGAGGCCAAGGCAGGTGGATCACGAGGTCAGGAGTTTGAGACCAGCCTGGCCAAGATGGTGAAACCCCATCTCTACTAAAAATACAAAAATCAGCTGGGCGCAGTGGCAGGTGCCTGTAATCCCAGCCACTCGGGAGGCTGAGGCAGGGGAATCGCCTGAACCCGGAAGGCAGAGGTTGCAATGAGCCGAGATCACGCTACTGCACTCTAGCCTGGGTGACAGAGCAAGACTCCATCTCAAAAAAAAAAAAAAAAAAAAAAAAAAAAAGACTCAATTTAATATGGTGACAAAGGAACAATGCCAATGCAATGAGATAAATGCTATGACAGAGGTACAAAAAGGTTTCTATTCAAACTCAAGAAGGGACGTTTAACTAGGAGGAAGGGAAGAAAGAACGGGAGGAGGTATAATGCAAGGCATCAAGTTCTAACAGAAAACCATTAGCAAGAGTGATTAACAGTACAGGTGGTATGTTAGCATTCGGAGTCTCTTGGGACTTGCTTGACTTAAGGAAGGAGATGTTCCTACCCTATCTCTGCCAACTGCAAGGCTGTGTTAAATCTATTTTGTAGTGAAAGGATCAAGTGCAAGGATCAAATTGATACCACACACACAGTGCTATGGAATAGCCCACTATGGCAAGAGGTGAGAGAGGAGGGCATGCCAGGCAGGAGAAAATGCACGTGCACAGGCAAGGAGTCATAAGAGGATCTAGCAAATTTTAAAACTGATCTCCTTTTTAAGTATCCTCTAAGAGCGCATCAATATTCACCATGCTTTATTTTTGTATTCATTAAAATATATAACCTAAGGCAAGTGTTATATTTTCAGTATATTTACACCATTCCAAGGTATATTTCAAAATGTTTAACTTCAAACCTGCAAGTATATAATACATCCCGGTTGATATTTGCCGTCATTACTGTGTTTGATACACAGAGAACGAAAAGGCTATTTTAAGAAACTAAACAATACACATCTGAAACAGAAAAGTATTAAATTAGGTGGTATACTGTTTCAAGCGATTTGTATACCGACTTTTTCTTTCTTTTTTTTTTTTGAGATGGAGTCTCACTCTGTCACCCAAGTTGCAGTGCAGTGGTGCGATCTCGGCTCACTGCAAACTCCGCCTCCCAGGTTCAAGCAATTCTCCTGCCTCAGCCTCCTGAATAGCTGGGACTACAGGCACCCATTACCACACCCAGCTAATTTTTGTATTTTCAGTAGAGACGGAGTTTCACCCTGTTGGTCAGGCTGGTCTCAAACTCCTGACCTCAGGTGATCCACCTGCCTTGGCCTCCCAAAGTGCTGTGATTACAGGCGTGAGCCACCACATCCGGCCTGTATACTGACTCTTAAAGCTTATTTTTAAAATATTCAATACCATGAGCAACTGTGGATAGACTCAGGCAGGGGATCACTTGTACAAGGATGCTAGTCGAGAGACCACAGCACCTTCACAAGTGATAGCAATTGCTCAATCTTCCTTTCCTCAACTCCCACCGTCTTTATAAACTTATGAATAACCAATGTTAAAAAGTACCTAATGATAAAGCAAGATAAACTATAGAATCAACACTTTTGAGTGTGAGTACAGTAAGACATTTTAAGTGAGAGATCACATTCATAAACTTTTACTACCGTATATTGTAATTGTTCTATTTATTAGTTCCTGTTGTTAATCTCTTACTGTGCCCAATTTATACATTAAACTTTATCACAGGTATGTATATATAGGAAAACACAACATATATAGGGTTCAGTACTATCTGTGGTTTTCCGCATCCTCTGGGGTTCTCGGAATCCATCCCCCACAGATAGGGGAGACACTAGTGTATATCTAACAAAGGAAATGTGATGATTAAATAGAGAAAGTTTATGAGGAAGGATATATTAAAGATAACCTACAGTCAAAGACTTCCTCAGGTCAGAAGAACACTATGGTAAAGTAAACAAAAGACATCTCAAGAGGCAGAAGGCTGGGTTCCTTTTCTGACTCTGCTGAGCCAAGAGTCAAGGTCCTCCTCCCTAAGCTGACAAGACTTACCACCACCAGATCTCCATGGTCCCAGCTGTGAAACAAATAATCAATTTTAATCCTTAAAGTTTCAACTGCTAGTTCTGCTTACTGGAATAAGGAGAGGGAAATGCAGGAAATATTGTCAGTTCTACAGATAATTGTGCTGTTTTATGAAGTATATCTTGCTAAGTAGTCTTAATTAATATTCGTCTCCCATATTACAATCACTATGGACTGGGAGAATACAAGGTAACTGCATCATTTCTAATCTTTGATCCTCCTTAATAGATGCTTAAAATTCCTCTACCACAGGCATGTTCTATACTTCAACCATAAAAAGCTCAAAGTATTAGAAAGCAAACAGAACTTGCTTGTTATTCTCTAAAGGTGTCAGTGTATCTGCACATATATCATGAACCAATTGTTTTAATGGTATAAATCATATATTTTTGGCTGACATAATTCAACACAGAGAGTCTGGCTGCTCAATAGACACCTAACATTTTCTCAAAATTAAATACATTACATACATATGTGTACACATAAAATATTTTAGCTGTTAACTAGAGAATTATAGGATGATCTGCTGCTACTCTAACTCACCAAAGTATTTCAAAATGAGGTAGACATCATGAGAAGTGTATTACTAAAAGAAAAACCATTAACATTTTCCAAGTTTTAGCACAGTTCATTCCAATATAAAACTGACCACAAAAGCAAAATACTTATAATAAACTAAGCAATCCTCATGTTATTGATGCTGGACAGGTTTTTATTTACAGAGTTACTGCTATTTCCACCTTAAGTCTTTCTAAAATTACCAACATTTCTCTAAAGTAAGTTTTTTTATTATCAACAATCATTAAGAGATTTTTAGCCTAAAATAAGACCAGTTCCTAAAGCAATTTCTCTTTTTGGGAAAAACTGATACACTTACGCTTTTAGGATAAAAAATAATGCCATTTCATTAAAATAATTAACATCACTCTTTAAAAAGATACTAGTTGAGAGAATCATCAATCTACTAATATTAAACATCTAACAGGCAAAAAAATACACATTCTGTATATTCCATGACACTAAAGAAATACTGCTTGAAAAAAATATCATTTGATTTCTTGGCAATGGATGCCACTATGGATCAAATTACATCACAAAAAATCCTAGAGGCACTATACAAATGCTTTTGATACACAGATTTAAGCTTTCATATTTAACCCACAACTCTTCAAGACCTCTCTCTAGCTTCTGAAATAGAATATTAAGATTTATTAGACTTGTGGCATAAGAAATCAACCAGCCTTGAAATTATAACAGAAAAGAAATATGTCTGATTTGTTCACCATTGTATTCATTTCTAACATCTAGCTCAGTGCCTAGCACACAATAAATTCTCAATAAAAACTTACTGAATGGTTATTTTGTTAAACTGGGTCATGGCTGTTTTGCTGCTCTGACATTTTCAGTATAATGCCTATTCTTACCATTTGAATTTGATCTAAACCATTATTTAATTTAAATCTAGTTTTTATTCTGAGAACTCTTTATTTTCTACTTAATAAAAACAACAGAAATAGCAGTCCCACCTTCTTAAAAATGTGCAAACAGACATGAGAGTACATTAAAGTATACGAATGACAGAAAGAAAGTTAAGTAACAGATGAGACTGTGAGTGCAACTACCAATGGCCCCACAATGAGTAATACTGCTACAGGTCACAGGAACAGAGGTCACCAGGGAAGGCCATGTCAGCCAAGTGTGTGTTTCCATTCCATCCCTTTGGCCAAAAAAGGGGCTCTAAACACAGCTGTTTTCAAAATATAGTCACCACAGAACTTTTGAGAGTCTTCAAAAGCTGGCAGATAATCTAAAGGTCAATCAAAATACACACTGGAGTCATATATAACAATGTCATAAAAACAATTAGCAAGGCAAAATGCTGTGAGATATGGGGGCAGGACAAGGGGAGCATGCAGAAAAGAACAGAAGGGGCAGGAAAGGCAACTAAATAGAAACTCCATTAAAGCTTCAACTGTGACTCAAATTCGAAAAGTCCTGCTGAATTGCATCTTCTGAGCCAGTTTTCTTAAAGCTAGAAATAACTATATAACATAATAGTCAAATGTGAATTCTAGATTTAAAAAAATAGCTCCCAATGATGTGCTAGGAAGCAGTATACTTTTTTCTGTATTTCAATTAGATAAAAAGCAAATTAAATCTTTTTTATATTTCATTTTCCTCATTAGCAAAGTTTTTGAATAATTTTAGAGTCTGCAAAATTTTCCTAAGAATTATGCAAAACTTTAATCTTTTTAACTACTCTCATTTAAACACAGTTTGGTTTGCTTTTAGTTTTAATAAAGTTTATATACTTTTTAAAAACTCATGAAGGAAAAATTCTAAAACACGGAAAAATAGGGAGAGTATAGCCCCATCACCCCAAAATAACAATATTAATATTTTAGCACAAGCTTATTTTCAAAATTAAGTATGCATATTTACATGTATACGTGAGAGGCCCCATAGCTCTTAATTTCTTAAAGGAGTCAATGAATGAAAAAATTAAGCATTTTAGATCTAGTCTAAGATGATGCCCATTTTATAGAGGAGAAAATGGAGTTTCAGAAAGGAAAACTGACTTGCCAAACAACAGCAAGAAACAGAACCCTGAACAGAAAGGTACAGTCTCCCAAATCCTGGGCTGAATACTCTTTCAAATACCATGAGACGTTTTATTTCATTTCATTTAAGATTTTCTTTGCATCCAACCACTGAGTCATCTCTCTATCCAATTAAATATTATTGTGAGCCAGGAGTACTAAGGACACAGAGATAAAAATAGTCCTGCTCAATGCCTAATGGGAATTATCAATACACACATGCAAACACAGAAAATTTTTTAACTGAAATGTTTTACTTGGTGTACATGCAAAATGCAGTGGGAGAGTGTAGTGGTGTAAGACAAGTGTTCCGTACAGAGAAGTGGCAATTGAGCTAACCTTGAAGAACGACTTAGTGTTAGACAGGCAGAAGAGATATCAGGGAGTAGGAATAAGAATGGGAAAATAGCAGCTAAACTGCAAAAGAGCTTAGAACAGGAAGGCAGGAGATAAGACCAGATAGGTAAGTCTGGAGACCTTGAAAGAAAAGGAGTTTAGGTTTTACCTATACAAGATGAGGAACCACAAAACCATTTTACCAAGATTATTCCACAATTAAAACTTATATTTTAGAGAAATCATTTCTTGTGCCAGTGAATGGCAGAGAAAAACAGTAAAAAAAAAAAAAAAAGGGTCGGGGGGGCATGAGCCAAAACCAGAGTAGTAACAGTGAGGATAGAGGGAAGGGGCATGAAAAATATTTAGGATAAGAATAGGCTATTCCATAAAAAAGAGAGCAAGGAGTCTAGAATAACACAGACAATTAATAATAGTGTTGCTATTCACAGAGTACCTTCATATTTTCTAGGATCTGAAATACATCTTAAATTGCTACCAAGGCCGGGCATGGTGACTGGCTCATACCTGTAATCTCAGCACTTGAGGAGGCTGAGGCAGGCAGATCGCCTGAGCTGAGGAGTTCGAGACCAGCCTGCGCAACATGGCGAAACCCTATATCTACAAAAAAGAATACAAAAATTGGCACACACCTGTGGTCCCAGCTACTTGAGAGGCTGCGGTGGGGAGAATCACTTGAGCCTAGGAGGCAGAGGCTACAATCAGCCAAAATCGCCTCGCTGCATTGCAGTCTGGGTGACAGAGTGAGACCCTGTCTCAAAAACCAAAACAAAATTATAAAATTGTTACCAAAATGCTTCACACTATAGATTACCAACTATAGTTCTCAAAAAGCAATTAATGTTCAACCAAAATTGACAATATAGGAGAAATGGAAAGGGGAAAAAAAAAAAAAAAGGAAATGCTGAACTGTTTATGAAAAGCTGGGTTTTAACAGCACATGAAGCAGAAACTGAAAAGTCTTGGATTTGAATTTCTGACCAACAAGTCTTCCTTACAAAGATTTTAATTTCAGAAATAATTTTGGAAACCTACTGATACAGGAGTTAAGTACAGCTGGCTCTCTGTATCCATGGGTTCCATATCTGCAGATTCAACCAACTGCAAATCAAAATTATTTGAAGAAAAAATTAAAAATAAGAATACAACAATAAAAAATACAAACAAGAAACAATATGATGTAACAACTGCATACACAGCATTTCCATTGTATTAGGTATTATGAGTAATCTAGGGATGACTTAAAGTATACGGGAAGATGTGTGTAGGTTAGATGGAAACACTAGGGACTTGAGCATGGTGGGGTGGTATCCTGGAACCAGCCCCCTATGGCTATCAAGGGACAACTGTATCGTATTGCTTAGTAAGTAATGGTTTTATAAAATATTCTTGATATAAACTTAAGTGAAAGTATAATAAATAATGTCAAATGAATTTTGCAATACAAATAACTGGCTTGATGCTACAGGAAAGCAAATTGTGTGCTGGAACAACTACTTGTTAGTGTTTATCTTTAGAAGTGGGAAGCCCTGGTGAGTACCTAAAATATTATTTATTTTTTAAGAGAACAATCACATCTTCAACTCAGCCCTTTAAAAGATTCCAAAGACTGCTGTATCATGGCTGAAGCATTTTAATTTCTGGAAAGATTGTAAGAATAATATTTAAACTTACTTGTGTTAGCTCTTCAGAGAAAATGAAAACATCAAATCTACGGCTATATATTCCATTAACCAGCTTAAGGTAATCACCTCTAAAACAGTGGATTCTACTTCTCACACATAACACACACAGAGAAATAAAAAATGGAAGCTACCAATGGTGGGAGCCAGGTTTCTCACTAGCAGACAAACAAGTGACCCTGTAAACATACTATAAAAACAAAATGGTTATAAAATACTTTGCCAAAACTCACCACAGAGATTATCGACAGAAACAATAATGTTGGCCAGGTGCGGAGGCTCACACCTGTAATCCCAGCACTTTGGGAGGCTGAGGTTGGCGGATCACTTGAGGCCAGAAGTTCAAGACCAGCCTGGCCAACATGGTGAAACCCCGTCTCTACTGAAAATATGAAAATTAGCCGGATGTGGTTGGTGCATGCCTGTAATCCCAGCTACTTAGGAGGTTGAGGCAGGAGAATCACTTGAACCTGGGAGGCGGAGGTTGCAGTGAGCTGAGATTGCACCACTGCACACCAGCCTGGGTGACAAAACTACACTCTGTCTCAAAAAAATAAAACAAAACAAAAAACAGCGCTGGGCACGGTGGTTCACGGCTGTAATCCCAGC
The DNA here is from genome assembly GCF_000001405.40 of Homo sapiens. NCBI lineage: Eukaryota > Metazoa > Chordata > Mammalia > Primates > Hominidae > Homo > Homo sapiens. The sequence continues at coordinate 55,208,691 of NC_000001.11, forward strand.
ACTCTGGGAGGCAGAGGCAGGCGGATCACGAGGTCAGGAGTTCGAGACCAGCCTGGCCAACATGGTGAAACCCCATTTCTACTAAAAATACAAAAATTAGCAGAGCGTGGTGGCAGGCGCCTGTAATCCCAGCTACTTGGGAGGCTGAGGCAGAAGAATCGCTTGAAACTGGAAGGCGGACGTTGCAGTGAGCCAAGATCACACCACTGCACTCCAGCCTGGGTGAAAGAGCAAAACTCCATCTTAAAAAAACAAAACAAAACAAAAAAAACCCAATAATGTCACCTACTATCAATATGAGCTTAACGAAAATTTTTATGTCAGTTGTGACTGAAAAATGTGATAACACTAAACAATAAAAATTCCTATGATAAAGAAAATGAAAAATACAAGCTTAAAAAAGGAAGTAAAACTCCCTAGAAAAAAAAGGGAGGAAAAAAACATTTACTCTTTTGAAAATGAAGCACAACTCTCTTAGTCGTACCTCTGCAATCTAGTATCATGACTGAAATGTCCTCACATCTGAATTTTCCAGGTGTCTGAAGCCTACTTCTTTATCCATCCAACTTCTTCTTTTTTTTTCTTTTTAAAAGGAAAACCTTTCTAAAATACATTAAACATTCCTGACCCTTCTTAAGCAGACCACACTGGAACCTCTTCTTGACTGTGACATCATTGAAAACACAGTTATCCTCTCAGGGCCATGAAACACATAATAAAGCTGTTTCAAATCACCCTACACAAATCGGCTAGTGTGATTTGGTTGAGTCGGCTTTTAAAGCTTTCCTGTTCCCTCCTTGACCACTAAGCTGCTACTGTCACTTCTCACTATTGTCAAATGAGCTTGTCTCTAAGAGCTCATCACCTTGTGTTTAGATTGCCATAAAACCATTCTAATTTGATAGGAAACCTAATATTGAAACTTGTTTGAACTGTATTTTTTGTTAAGTTTAAACACAAATGAAAGAAATGCATGAGCTTTAGTGCACTTAGAGCGCTTAGTGAGTGGAGTGCATGAGCTTTAATGCATGTACGAAGGTGTTCTGAAATGGTTCCATCTTATGTGTTTACTTCTTATTTCTCTCTGTGGTTCCATATAAGGAAAATTTCCAGGAAAACTGAACTCCAGATTTCAGATTCTACTAAATCTTTTTTAACATTTTCTTATTAAAAGTAAAAAACGCCCTCCTTCACACTCAGATCAAGTAAATGGTATATGATATTGTAGGCAGTAAGTATAAAAATACTTAAGTATATGGACATATTTTTCTATTAATGTTGAAACCTTTTCCTCAAATTGCTAAAACATTACAACATTTGCTTTTCTAACATTGAAATTGTTTTCAAAATTTAAGCTAACAATATTATTATGCTGTATAAAGCTGTCACAACCTACTATGATTTCACTAAAACCACACTCACAGACACACGAAAGGTACTCTCTTCATGCCAAATTACATTCATTCTAAAAGTGAATGGGCAGGTAATTACAAGGTGAGACTCCAACCATTAGATTAACTCACAGACCTAATTCCCAAAGGAGATATATATACATATACTGGATCAGAAAGAAATTCTTATTTAAAAATTAGGCCATGCTGATTCATCTTTAATTCCCTATTTTTATTTCATCTACTTTCAACTGATTTGGGAAATTATTTCATTTTTTTACTCTAAAGCCTTTAAAGGGCCTTTTTTTATTTACCAAATCACAGTAATTCATAAACCACAGGTCATGTACCAAATCACTAATAGTTAACTAAAAGCTACTCATTTGATATTTACTCCACACTCATACTAGGGTTGTTGTATTTTAGGAAAAGAATAACATGAATTTTACCATAAACCTTAATTATACACATTGACAGTATTACAATTTTAATCCATTTATAATTACCACTTACTACCAAAGGGGAACAAGAGAAATAGGAATGAGGTAAGTTAAGGAACTACAAATTAATATGCTTCTTATTTTTATGTGACTTAGATATATTAACAGCAGGACCAACTTTGGGGCTCTAAACTTAAAAAAACAAAAAAGCAATGAAATCTTGAAAGTACTCCTGACAAAACAATACCTCCAGAAAGAACATCCACATTAAAACAGGAACAAAACAAGGAGTTCACAATGTTTATCAGATCACAGTATTAAATGTCACTTCTGGGAATATTAATTAACAGCACTAGACAGCTAAGAAAGGTATTTCCTCAGTTAATATGAAATCTCCTTCCAAAAACTTCCATTTTAGTATTTTCTAAAGACAAACTTAATGAATAAGGTATTCATTATAGTATTAATGTTTGATGGTATTCCTTATGGATAAGGTACATTTCATAATTGTTAAGTTCTGTGAGATGCACAGGATACCTGGTTCAGATTTCTACTGATCCCCTGGAGAGATTACAAAGGCCCAACTCTTCCTGTTGTGTAGAGAACAGAACCAATTGGTACGCACTTGGCAGGCCAGAGTTTACATTAGCCATGCAGTAAAGAGTGAAGAATTCTGACAGGGGGGTGGTTAAAAATCAGAATAAGTTATTTAGAGCAGCTGTGAGAGCTCACTCTCTTTAATAATAGAACAGACTCTTATGTGCCGTGGAATGATTTTGAAGTAATGCTATTCAAAATCAAAACTGGACAGCTTCTCAAAGTCCCTTCCAGACCCAGAGACCAAGAACATTTACATCCAACAATACTAGTGAGAACCAAACACATCTCTTCTGCAAAACACTATCTTTACTTAATTGGAGGATATTAACAAGGTGGCTTTCTATGCAGTTGTGTGTTTTGCTAGATATCTGGGTCTTTTTTATCTGCATTCTCCTTGCTTCTACTGAACCGGAAGTTAACAGCTTTCACTGTTCAAATATTAATTTTTAAACCAAACCCTAATTACAGCAGGGCCTCAAACTGATTTACCTAACTAGCTACATGACCTTGGACAGTCTTTTCTTGTAAAATGAGAGGCTTGGACTAAGACCCACTAGAATGTAAACACCACGTTCTGTTCAACACTCTACTCCCTGCCCCTGGGACAGGAAGGCATTAAGAGAAAACCATTGCTATCCCCAAACTACAAATATAAAAAAACTTAAGTCATTTCTTTCTTTTCTAATCAATTAGATTTTATTCTGTTTTTCCCATTTTTAAAGAAGACAATGACACTGAAATGTCCTGTGCAGCAAATAGAAATGTATATAATTTAAAATAAGGTACTCAGTTTTTAGAAATAAAAAGGATTAACTATATAATAGCTGACAATCTTCACCCAGTTTTTTTACTCTTCTTCCTTCCCTTTAACCCATTACTGTGTCCCATTCCTTTTTCCTTTGAAAGAGAGCCCGAAAGAGTGCAGGACTTCAAGCAAAAGGGCCTGAGTACTAGCCCCACCTCTTCTATTAACTGACTCTGTGGGGACAAGCCACTTCCCCTTTGGGGCCCGAAAGGGTGCATCTGTTAAACAAGGGAGCTGCACTAATTATTAATTTCTAAAGTATGCTTCTTTTTAAAAAATCTGATTCACCTTATATTCTACCCATTATTCGATTCTTAATGGTTGGTGCTCACCACATCATTGCACAGTAGCCTTAAAATATGTCTTTCCCTCATTATTTCTCCTTACTATCCATACTGTTACCAAACAAATTTAATCCTAAAACCATGAGTTGAGCAGAGTGAAAAGCACACTGGCTTTGAAGTCAAAGAGACCTGGGTTCAAATTCAGCCCCTGCCACCCACTACATAATCATATCCCTAAAAAGCCTACGTTAACTCTCTCACCAAGGGTTAAATAAACTGTATAACGCACCTAAGACAGGGCCTGACACCCTGTAGATGCTGGATAATATTTATTACCTTTCCCTATTTCCCAAGATCAAGAGCCTCAGTTTCCCACTGTGTACACCAAGGATGACCAAGAAGTTCCATAGGTGGCATGCATTAAGATTATTAAACCACAGAGGCACATTCTGCGTTAAATGTTTCCAAAAGGCTCCTGTGTGTCAGGAAAGTCTCAGCCTGCCAACCTCTGCCAATACGCTTCGTGGGTAAAGCAGCCTCAGTCACCAGCTCCTCTTGAACTCTTAAAAGTAAACGGTGCAGCTTCCCTCCCCCAGGCCAAATCCACAGGTCTAGGAGAAATGAGGACTTGATGCACTGCTTCGAAAAGATGGAGATTTTATGGATTTTAATTTACCGCAAACCAAACTCCTTAGCCTGCCATTCACGTAAGAAGCCACTCCCAATTCTTTGTACTTACATGTACTGGCAGTAAGCTAAGGTTAGCGCTAATGTTAACATGAATGCACCAAGCATTGTAATTTAAATTGATTTTCCAATCACAGGAAATTAAAAGGTATGACAAAAGAAAAAAAGAATCACATTTCTCACATAATGAGGATACACTGAGCTTTGCAGAGTTATACAAACACCTTCTGAAAAAGCAACGGCTTTCTTCTTGATTTCAAAACTGGGTCAAAAACTAGAAGGAACGAGGGAGGAGTGATAGGAACTGCCAATGAGAAGCTGATTTCTTAAAATGACTTAAGTATGGTTACTCAATTATATGGGAATTTAAAAAAATTCCCAAACTAGGAATAGTAACAATCTTTATTTCCATATACTAGTCAACGATACAGCTAAGTTAGTGGGTTACAGAGGGCAATCTAGCAACTGTGTCTAAGTGTGGAAGCCAAAGAAATCTTGTGCAGAAACCTGTTCTTTTTAAGTGCCACCTTCTTGTTCAAGCTACTTCAGCCCGAGGAACTGTTGCAAAAGCATACAATTAAAAGGATATAACACTGCTCAGGAAAAAGTGTTTCAAAAGGCTTAGCTTCACTAAGCTTAATTCTTCATTAAGAACGAACCAAATTCGTATCTCTACCTAATAACGCAATCCCAATAATTTGAGATCTGTGCTTTTCTGTGGTCAGGCCAAGCTGCTCTACTGGCCCCTGAAATGAACTACCCAACGAATCTGACCAAAATTCCTGCCATGAGCTACTATGTTTCTGCAAAGTAATTATTCAAAAGCACTGCTGCTTCTGGTCGATCTTTTTTCTTTATTATAGAAGAGTCCGTTTTCTTCCCCCACGTTCCTTGCTCACACCCCAAACTAAACAGGCATAGTCTTCTCCACCTAGACTTGAGGTCTCTGATCAAAGCCATTAGCCTCAAGACTCCTCCTCCACCCCCACTGCGCTCCCACCCTGTTCCGCGCCCCTCTGCATAGCACCCTCAGTATGACTACCATCTCTTTCCCCGGTCTAATTTTCTCTCATTTCTGACCTTATCGATGACCAGTACTCCCTCTTTACCCAGACCTGGTGCCAGCTCTATCTTCCAATTCCAGTCCCCATCCCTGCCTAGACCCTCCTCAGCTCCCACCCCTGCCCAGGCCTCCCACCTCTGCCCTCTCAGTGCAATCCCCACTGCTCTCATACCTGATTTTATTCAAGTCCTCATTCCTGGCCGCGGCCCCTTCCCTCTTCATTTTAAATCCTACTCAATGCCCCCCCTTTCCGACCCTTGGCTAAAACCCCAACCTCACTCCTAACCCCAACAGTTTTCCTGTGATCCTGTCAAAGACCACTACTCTGGCCGGCCCACACCGCTTTTTCTGACTCTGAGCCTGGTGCCTCCGCCAATCCTTCACTGAAACCTCGTGCCACAAAATCTCCGACCTAGCCTAGTGCACTAGTACCCCATTTCCGACCCCCTACTGCACGCATCCTTCCCACTATATGCTCAAGTGTCTGTCCTCCCATCTCGGATGATAGCCCTGGAGCCTCCTCCCCATCGTCGGCGTGCATAGCCGGAAGCCTAAGGGACCCCTCCTCACCCCAACCCACAGCTCCGCTGCGCATCCCTAATTCCCTTTCACACGCCTCTCCTATGGGTCCCTCTCCCCACTTACCCCCAATCAAGTGACTTCGGTTCCCAACTGGAGCCTGGGGCTTCTCTCTCTCTCTCCGCCCCGCCCCCACTAAAGCCCCAGTCGAATGCCCTCTCTCCCCACACCAAGCCCAGCGGGGTGTGTCCCCTCCCAGGAACTCCAGCCCAGTGGCTTCCCACAGAGGTCTGGGGTTGCCCCTCCTCACCTCCGCGTCCACCACCTCGTGGTAGGCGGGCGGGGGGTCGAAGCCGCCCCCGCCTCCGGTGCTCCCGCCGCGGGAGGGGCCGCCGCCGCCGCCGTCACCTCCGCCGTCGCCCCGCGGGCCCCCGCCGGGCCCGGGGCTGGGGCCACCGCCGCTGTCCATGGGCTCGTAGCCGCCGTAGTCGAGGCCCGGCCGCTCGTTGGTGAGCAGTGCCACGGCCTCGTTAATGTCGTTCTTGGCCAGGCGCAGGGCCTTGCGGATGGTGGCGGGGTCTGAGAAGCCCATGCACAGCAGCGTGGTCATGTGCTGCTCCTCCTCCGATTCCATGGCTTGGGCCTCCTGGCCGCCCCGGCCAGCGCACGGCGAAGCTACGGGTCCCGGGCCTGGCGGGCCGCGCGGCGCACCCTCCGCGCCGCCTCCGCGCCCAGGTTGGCCCCTGCGTTCCTGCCCCGGGTGCTCCGCAGCAGCCGGGCCAGGCTGGGTGCGGGCTTGGGTCCTGCGAGCCGAGCTAGTGCGGTGAGGCGCTCAGGCGCGGCTGCGGCCCGGCCCAGCCCTGCGCGCCGCCATGTTGGCCTCCTCCCCCTCCGCCTCCTCCTCCCCGGGCGGCGGGGCCGCGCCTCGGCTCCCGGAAGCGGCACGGGAGGCGACCGTGCTCGCCGTTGGCAGGCTAGGGTTGGCGGCGGCGTATTCTGTTTGTTTTAAACGAAGGAGCGGAGGGAGGGGCCGCGCCGCGGAGCGTGCCTAAGGTGAAAGGGCTGCCGTGCAGCCAGGCAGAGGCGAGGAAGGCTTCTCCATCGTCGCCACCGCCCGCCTGTTTCGCCGGCAACAGGTTCCCCCGGGACGGGAGGGGCCGCAGCGCCGCGCAGCTCGCAGCGCTGAACGTCGCGGAAATCCCTTGGCCGGCCGAGCCTCCGCAGCCGCGACCCGGCTTCTCTCCGTCCGAGTCCCCCGAGCCTCTCCGAACCCCCGTTGGACTTCCCCTCCCTGGCCGGCGCCGCCCGACCCGCTCCCCCATCCTAGAGGGAATTCCCTGCGCCGCGGCTGTGAGGCACCTCCACCCCGGCCTGAAATGCACCGCAGTCCTGAAGGAAATCCACCCTCATCCCACGCAGATTCACCCGCAACGCTGCCTGAATACGCCTCGCTGCCCACAGAAATTCCTGCCCAAACCAGACGCGTGGACCACCCAAGACGAAATTCACACTCGACCCTAGCCCCGCCAGCCCTTGCCGAAATCACCCTAAACCCGTTGAAATTAATTCCCAGCTGTCCGAATTTTCCTTCCAACATTAACTGACTACCTGTCTCCGCCAAGCTGACTGAACTCTACCGAACTCTTACCCTGAAAGCCCCTGAGAGTCCAAAATATATTTTTCCAGCCCGAAATCTAAATCCCAGTTCTCTGTATGAAAACCTCCAGAAACCCAGACTCTTACTTCCTTCGGCCACGGACTCGTTCGAACATCGTGGACATCACCTTCCCACATTTTTACCGCAGTCTTTGGCTCCGATTCTTTGTCCCTGCCTCTTGGGCAGCATCCTATCCCTGTTTCTTTCCACCTTTGAGGATTCCTCTACCTCTTTAAAGGCCTGCTTTCTTTGCTTTCTCTTCTCACCTTTGGCATTGGCACACTGGGGTCATATCTTTAGTTCCCTTGACTCCACCATCTAAGCCAAGGGTGTCCAATCTTTTGGCTTCCCTGGGCTACATTGGAAGGAGAAAAATTGTCTTGGACCACATATAAAATATTCTAACGCTAATGGTAGCTGATGAAACTTTTAAAAAATCTCATCATGTTTTAAGAAGTTTACGAATTTGTGCTGAGCCGCATTCAAAGCCGTCCTGGGCCTAAGTCCTTGCTATTTTTCCTCTTCAATTTCCTTCAATCCATAGTTCTCTAGGTTATTTTCCCACCCTTTCCCAAGATTCGGATATCCCTTCATTCTTGCTGAGTTCATCTCCTATGCCTATTCCTACATACTTGCTGAGTTCATCTTCTAATGTCCTCATCCTGGTTTCTTCCTGAACCTGAAATCCAGCTAACCTTACTTTTTCATCCCATCAAACCCCTGCTGTTGCCAGCCCAGCACTCACGAAGATCTTTACATACACCAAATATTAAATTAGGGCCGGTACCTAGACATTGTCTCTGCACTCTGCTGGCATATTTTCCCCTGGACCACGAACCCTTCGTACCTAGTAACTTGCCACCTGTGTTTATAAATACCAGCAATTTGATTTACAGGGTGAATTTGTCACTATTGTTTACTTTTAAATGAAGTTACTGTATTTGTTGTTTCCATTAAAGGCGACATTATAAAGCCTAGGCCTCATATCCAAAGCAAATAAAGTCTCAATTTTTTAATTAAAAGTAACAAAAGGAAACCTCACACTTCTGAACAACAATGACAAGAAGGAATGCCTATAATTGGTTTGGGTCACAATGTACATATTGAAATAAAATTTTTATTAAGTATCAACTTCCAGGTACACAATGAAGTTTTAAATGTTTATCTGTGACATATGAAGAACAAAGCAATCTAAACTGATGTAAGCAGGCTGTCATAAGGTACATGCTGAGGAATTTATTCAACAAATTGAATAAATTTATTCAATAAATAAATAATTATTCAATAAATAATATATTTAATAAATTTAATAAATAGAATAAAAATGATTCTATTTACTGGGTGCCAGGTACTATTCTTCGCACAGACAAAAATTAGATGATGGCAAAGTGAGGGCATTCAATTCTGCCCTGTGTTTGAAGAGTTAATTACTAAGAAATGAATTACAAGGAGAGAGGAAGTAACAAGTAACAAAAAAATTGTTTGCCACTAAAATTTGAGGTAGAACCTAAAAGGTCATGAAAGAGCCGACTGAATCAGATGGCACGTTAAAAGACTCATCAACGGTGGCAGGTTTATAGAACATGACAGAGGAAGCTGTGCTTAGCTGAGAAGAGGAAGCAGAGAAGGAAGCAGAGAAAAACAAAGTCTGTGATAAAAACTGGAAAGGAGCCACAAAAGGCCACAAAAAACAAGGAAGTCCATTTTGGAACCGGATCCTGGAGTGACTGAAAAGGCAGAGTGTCATTTGAGGATGCGAGTAGTATAATCATACTTTTTTGCATGGAAGAAAGCAAGTGAGTACTTTAAACTGTGGAATTGGGATAGCAGGGGTGGGGCCTATGATATGAATATTCATACTTTTCATTTACATTTTTATTTTTATTGCAGTAAAATCTAGAAAATGTTGAGAGGATTTTTAAAAATTTAAATTACATTCAATTCCCATACATCTTTCTCTAGAAAGGTTCTAAAGGAAAAGAAAAAAATAGCTACATAGAGAAGTAAGGTATGATGAACTATCTTGAAGACTGAGGGTTTTCTACTGTTAATAAGTAAGTTTTCAAATTATAGATTGAATATCTACTTTGAGCCAGGCTGAGGACTAGGGAGACAATTGTGAGAAAAACATTACACAATTTCTACCCCTTTGGATCTTACTGTCTATAATAAAGGGAAATAGACAAATAATAGTCATAAAGCATGATAGACGCTTTGATGGGGGAATTTCAGGATATAAGGGGCAAATTTCTGCCCTCTGTGGGGGTAATTACCAAGTCTAGGAAAACTGAAAATTTTCCCAGAGAAGACGACGTTCAAACTATAATCTGACGTAAGGTTGGAAAGCCAGGAAAAGGAATATGAAATGAAGGGAGAAAGTTCCAAAGAACGGGAACAACATGTGCAAAGGTCCTGTTGTGGGTGAGAATAAAGCAATTTGGAGGAATTAAAAGCCAGTGGAGTATAGAATTCTAGAGAGATATGGATTGAGCATTCCTAACCTGAAATCTGAAATGCTCCAAAATCTGAAAAAAAAAAGTATTTTCTTATTCTTTTTTGTCTTCTTATTAAGAGATGGGGTTTCACCATGTTGCTCAGGCTGGTCTCAAACTCCTGAGCTCAAGTGATCTTCTCACCTCGGCCTCCCAAAGTGCTGGGATAACAGGCATGTGTGAGCCACTGCACCCAGCCCAAAATTTGAATTTTTTTTTTTTTTTTTTTTGGAGACAGAGTCTCACTCTGTCACCCAGGCTGGAGTGCAGTGGCACCATCTCGGCTCACTGCAACCTCTGCTGCAGGTTCAAGCAATTCTCCTGTCTCAGCCTCCTGAGTAGCTGGGATTACAGGCATCTGCCACCATGTCCAACTAATTTTTGTATTTTTAGTAGAGGCGAGGTTTCACCATGTTGGCCAGGCTGGTCTCAAGCTCCTGACCTCAAGTGATCTGCCTCCCTTGGCCTACCAAAATGCTGAGATTACAGGTGTGAGCCACCATGCCCAGCCCCCAAAATTTGAAAACTTGAGTGGTGACGTGATGCCACAAGTGGAGAACTCTGCACTTGACTTCATGTGATGGATTGCAGACAAAACATGGGTAGAAACTGAAAGCCTGCCATTGTTTGTTATTGTTGTTGTTTAACAGCTAATATAGGTATTCTGGGGATGATACTGCCCTATTTAGGTACCCTGAACACATTATTTTTTCACTGTATTAAGGGTATGCCATACTTTTTACTGTTAAGTACTTAAGTGTGAATGGTATAAGAAAAAAATTGCTTATGGGTAGCATATATATTCAGAGACAGGAATGATGATGATGCCAGACAATCACAGATTGTCCATATCAGTAGCTCACATGGTGACACCTCTGCTTTCTGATGGTTCAATGTATACAAACTTTGTTTCATGCATAAAATTAAAAATTTGTATTAGGTCGGTGCAAAAGTAATTGAGGTTTTGCCTTTAAAAGCAATGGCAAAAACTTCAATTACTTTTGCATCGACCTAGTATAAAATTATCTTCAGGCAGGGAGTGATAGCTCACACCTGTAATTCCAGCAGTTTGAAAGGCCAAGGCAGGCAGATCACCTGAGGTCAGGACTTCGAGACAACCCTGGCCAGTATGGTGAAACCTTGTCTCTGCTAAAAATACAAAAAATTAGCCAGGCATGGTGGTGGGCGCCTGTAATCCCAGCTATTTGGGAGGCTGAGGTAGGAGAATCGCTTGAACCCAGGAGATGGAAGTTGCAGTGAGCTAAGATTGCACCATTGCACTCCAGCCTGAGCAACAAGAGTGAAACTCCATCTGAAAAAAAAAAAATTAGCTGGGCGTGGTGGCATACACTTGTGAGCTCAGCTACACGGGAGCTGAGGCAGGATAATTGCTTGAACCCAGGAGGTGAAGGTTGCAGTGAGCTGAGATTGCTCCACTGTACTCCAGCCTGGGCGACAGAGGGAGACTCCGTCTCAATCAATCAATCAATCAATCAGTCAATACAATTATCTTCAGCTTAGGTGTATAAGGTGTGTTTAAAGGCTGGGCGCAGTGGCTCATGCCTGTAATCCCAGCACTTTGGGAGGCCAAGACAGGTGGATCACAAGGTCAGCAGATCAAGACCATCCTGGCTAACATGGTGAAACCCCGTCTCTACTAAAAATACCAAAAAAAAATTAGCCAACATGGTGGCACGCACCTGTAGTCCCAGCTACTCGAGAGGCTGAGGCAGGAGAATCGCTTGAACCTGGAAGGCGGAGGTTGCAGTGAGCCAAGATCACGCCACTGCACTCCATCCTGGGCGACAGAGTGAGACTCTGTCTAAGAAATAAATAAGTAAATAAATAAAAATAAGATTTGTATAAAACAAATGACTTTTGTGTTTATACTTGGGTCTCATTCCTAAGGTATCTCATTCTGTATACTCAAATATTCCAAAATCCAAAAATGTCCAAAATCTGAAAAACTTGTGGTCCCAAACATTTCAGATGAGAGATACTCAACATGTAGTAGTGAGAAAAGAAGCTAGGAAGGTGGACAGACACCAGTTCCAAGAGGGCCGCTCAAACTGTAATAAGGAAATTGAACTTTATTCTGAGGGAATGAGAAGTCACAGTAACATTTATGCAGAGGACGGAAGTGATGCTACTTAAACTGTAGAAAGATCAACCTAACTGCAGTTTGGAGAATGGTTTAGAAGGGAGGAAAAGTGAAGGTGGAGAACCCAGTAAGGAGACAAAACCAATTAGCCTTCCTAGGTAACCACTTTGGAATGAAAAGTTGAATGAAAAGTTGAGTTTTGTTTTCTTATGCAGTGTACAATTTTTGTCTTTTGTCTTGCCTTGAAGCAGTTTTAGTGTGATATGTCTAGATGTGGCTTTCTTTATATTTATCTTAATGGAGTTTGTAGAATTTGTTGAATATGTGTTTTGAGGTCTTTCATTAGCTTGGAAAATTCTTGGTCATTATTTCTTCATCTATTGCTTTTGTTTCATTGTCGCTCTCTTCTCCTTCTGGGACATTAATTACATAAATGTGAGACCTTTTCACCAAATCACATTTGTCTCCTATGTTTGTTTTTTTATTTTATAATTTTTTTTTGAGACAGGGTTTCACACTGTTGCCCAGGCTGGAGTGCAGTGGTGTGATCCTAGTTCTCTGCAGCCTCAATCTCCTGGGCTCAAACAATCCTGTCACCTCAGCCTCCCAAGTAGTTGGGAATAGAGACATGAGCTACCTGCCTGGCTAATTTGTAAAATTTTTTTTGTAGAGACAGGGTCTCACTATGTTGTCCAGGCTGGTCCCAAATCTCCTGGGCTCAAGTGATCCTCCTGCCTTGGCCTCCTAAAGTGTTATATTCTTCTGTCTCTTCATGCTAATCTCAATATGTTCTTCTGCCTCTCTTCTCATTCACAGATTCTCCCTCAGCTATATCTAATCTTCTGTTTTTTTTTTGTTTTTGTTTTTGTTTTTGTTTTTGAGATGGAGTCTTGCCCTGTCACCCAGGCTGGAGTGCAATGGCGTGATCTTGGCTCACTGCAACCTCCGCCTCCTGGGTTCATGCCATTCTCCTGCCTCAGCCTCCCGAGTAGCTGGGGCTACAGGTGCCTGCCACCACACCTGGCTAATTTTTTGTATTTTTAGTAGAGACGGGGTTTCACCGTGTTAGCCAGGATGGTCTTGATCTCCTAACCTCATGATCCGCCCGCCTTGGCCTCCCAAAGTGCTGGAATTACAGATGTGAGCCACCGCGCCTGGCCTAATCTGCTGTTAAGTCTACTTATTGTGTTCTTAATTTTAGTTATTGTATATATTTCTATAAATTCACTTCAATTTTTTATGAGTTCCACATCTGTGCTGAAACTATCTTGTCATTTAATTTCTCGAACATATTAATCACAACTGTTTTATAGTTTGTGTCTGATAACTTCCATACCTGGATCTCTTGTGGGTCTGTTTCTATTGTCTGATTTTTTCTCTTGATTATCAGTCACTTCTTATATTTTTATCAGCATAGTTTTTTGAAATGGAAAATTGTGTTTTAAAAACTATAGAGATGACCTGAGGTTCTAGTTGATATGTTATTTAAGGGAGGATTCACTTTAGTTTCAACAAGCGGTTGGGAATACATATAATAAGCAACTTAAGTCCTGCTGTGCCTCCTCACTGGCCACGCTCCTTCCAGGCACCAGCTTCTCTGAGCCACCAACCTGCGGCTGCCCTGGCCCACCTGCGCCTCTGGCAGCACCATGACAGATCAGGTCTTTGTGACACTGACCACAAATGATGCCTACACCAAAGGTGCCCTGGTCCTGGGCTCATCTCTGAAACAGCACAGGACCACCAGAAGACTAGTCATGCTCGCCACCCCGCAGGTCTCAGACTCCATGAGAAAAGTTTTAGAGACAGTCTTTGATGAAATCATCGTGGTAGATGTCTTGGACAGTGGTGATTCTGCTCATCTAACCTTAATGAAGAGGCCAGAGTTGGGTGTCAGGCTGACAAAGCTCCACTGCTGGTCACTTACATAGTATTCAAAATGTGTATTCATGGGTGCAGATACTCTGGTCCTAGCAAATATTGATGATCTTTTTGAGACAGAAGAATTGTCAGCAGCACCTGACCCAGGGTGGCCTGACTGCTTCAATTCTGAATTTATCAGCCTTCAGTTGAAACATATAATCAGCTGTTGCATCTTGCTTCTGAGCAAGGTAGTTTTGATGGTGGAGAACAAGGCATACGGAACACATTTTTTCGCAGCTGGGCAACAACAGATATCAGAAAACACCTGCCATTTATTTATAGCCTAAGCTGCATCTCTATATAGTCCTACCTCCCAGCATTTAAAGTGTTTGGTGCAAGTGCCAAAGTTGTGCATTTCCTGGGACAAGTCAAACCATGGAATTATACTTATGATCCCAAAACAAAAAGTGTCAAAAATGAGTCCCACCATCCCAACGTGACTCATCCAGAGTTTCTCATCCTATGGTGGAACATCTTTACCACCACCGTTTTACCTCTGCTTCAACAATTTGGCCTTGTCAAAGACACCTTCTCATACGTAAATGTGGAAAATGTCTCAGGAGCCATATCACATCTGTCCCTTGGGGGGATCCCAGCTATGGCACAGTCTGTGTATCCTCAGAAGAATGGAAGGAGCGGTGGGAACAGGGCTAGACCGATTATATGGGAGCAGATTCCTTTGACAACATCAAGAGGAAGCTTGACACTTACCTCCAGTAGAAACACTGCATTTTCCTGTGGACACATCCACTTCACAAGCCTTGTTTCTGATACTTAGTATCTAGAGCTGGGTTGAGAAAAGTCTGTTATGGTTGCTAGAGATTTTCACAAAAACTTATCAGATGAGAGGTTTTTGTAGGACAACAGGTGAGAACTGGGCAAAAGTTGTGAAGCAGCAATTCCGTTGTTACATGGACAGTGTTTTGCTTTTTAATCCTGTTTAGCTTGTTTCAGAAATTCTCACTTTTGTTGACTGCCAACATACAAAGTAGGGGAAACTCAATATTAAGCTGTTAAGATGGCTGCATCAATTCTTAAAATCTGCAGAGCCTGGTTCCAAATCAGTCACTCCCTTCAGAAGCAGACATGGCATCTGATCCTTGCTTGCTTGCTGGTTGTACCTACCTTTCACTAGACCTGCATTTTGGAATTGCCCAGTGCTGCCAGAGTGAGTGATTGTAATTCTGTTTTCAGGTAAAGATAGCTTATATTAACACTGCTGAGTGATTCATAAACGTATCAACAAATAGCATTAACCCATTTTATTTCCTGGTCTTAGTGTCTGAAGATGTTCACCAGTTTTCTATGTACAGTAAGGCAGCATGCTAAAATGCTTTTGTTCAGTCTGTATATTTGAAAATAGCAAGGTGTTCTCTGATGGTTACCTGCAGTGGAACCCTGTATGAAAAATAAAGACTTACTGCCATAAAAAATAAAAAATAAGCAAACTTTGGGAGGCCAAGGTGGGTGGATCACAAGGTCAGGAGTTCGAGACCAGCCTGGCAAATATGGTAACACCCTGTCTCTAATACAAAAATCAGCCGGGCGTGGTGGCGCACGCCTGTATTCCCAGCTACTCGGAATCTGGGAGGCAGAGGTTGCAGTGAGCTGACATCGTGCCACTGCACTCCAGCTTGGGCAACACATAAGACTCCGCCTCAAAAAAAAAAAAAAAAAAAGCAACTTAATTCAATCAGGGATTAGGAGGGTTTCTGTGGGTTTCTGGACCTCAGTCTTTGTGAGGGCTAGTCTATTTTTGGCCCATCTTACTTGTAGGATTCTTTAGGGTTCCCAACTGGTTTAGTTGTTCATTGCTGTATCTCAAACCACTTCAATATTTGTGGCTTAAAACAATAGTGATTTCTGGCAATTATCTGGGTCGACTGAACAGTTCTTCATTTGGTATTGGCTGGGATCATTCGTAAAGCTGCATTCAGCTGGGCACTTGGCTGGGGCATTTTAGTAAGTTTTCACATGGCATCTCTATACAATATTCCATCCCCGAGGGCCTCTCCACATGGCCTATTTCTCCACTGGGATAACCTTGACTTAAGCATGGAGGCTAGATTCTAACAGGGAGAAATCCAAAAGTACAAGTCCCAGTGAGCAAGTTCATATTTAATCTTTGTTTGTTTCACCTTTACTAATGTACTATTGATAAAAACAAATCACATAAGCCAGATGCAGTGGTGTACACCTGTACTCTCACCTACTCAGGAGGCTGAGACAGGAGGGTTGCTTGAGGCCAGGAGATTGAGGAGGGAGTGTGCTATGATCACACCTGTGAATACTGCACTCCAGCCTGGGCAATGTAGCCAGACCCCCATCTCTCAAGACACAAACAAAAGAAAACAAATTATATGGCTAAGCCCGAAACCAATGTGAAGAGGACCACCCATAGGCATAAATCCTGGAAGGTTTGGTTCACTAGCAGCCAGCTATGTAACATATTACCATATCAAATGAAATCCTATGGTGCTTACCAGAGTACCTCCTCTTTAATGGCTCCTGATCTCCAATTCTTGTCATCTCAGCCCTGTAAGCTCTCTTCAGCTTTTGGGCTTCTCAGTTGCTGATTAGGAATCAGCAAAAACATTAAAGGAAAAGCAATACCAAATGATGGGTTCACCTCTCTGTACTTCCTTTCTCTTTGGGATTGGTCCTTTGAGTTCACGTTTTCTTAGAAACTTTCCAGTGCCTTCAAACTGGTATTTCCTGTATTCTTCCCAGCTTTTCTAGTTGTTCTCAGTAGGAGGGATGGTCTTAAGCAAGCTGATCTGTATTGCTGGCTCACAGTGGCCAGGGGAGTAGAAAGAGCTCAAAGAGAAGTGACTGGTTGGGTCCCAGGACTTCTAGTCTCAGAAAATCCCTCAGTCTCTAGCAGGGCAGGGCAGAGGAGCCCCAGAACCACCTTTCCTCAAAGTACTTTAGCCTATGCAAGCTTAGACTGTTGTCCTTTCACTGTTAACCAGTATTAACCAGTTAACCAGTTCTTCTGCAGACAAAAGCATCAGGAAGTACCCACCATGTACCAGTGGGCCCTTCTTGATGCTCTTGATTGCAGAGGAGCCCTGCAACCTGAATAAATCCTCCTGGAAGGTAAGTGGGGGAGCCCTAATTAAAACTGTAATTCAATGTCTCGATATTTTGGCAAATGAAGGTTCAGGTGAGTTTTAATTAGTTTCAGAAAAAGCAAAGTAAAATGATATTTAATGTACTGGATTTTGATGGATACAAATCTATATCCATTATATACTATATGTTTGTTTTTTCTAAAAAAAAAAAAAAAAAAAAAAAAGGCAACCAGAAAATTGTCATCAATGTTCATACCTTGAATACTCTAATTGAGTATTGACTTTTTTTGGTAACAGCTTTCTTGAGATGTATAATTTACATACCATACAATTTACCCATTTAAAATGTACGATTCTAGTTTTCAATGCATTCACAGATATGTGCAACTATCACTGTTGGCAATTTCAGAACATTTTCATCACCTAAAAGGAAACTCTGTAGCCTTTAGCTATCACTCTCCCATTTCCCTGTTTCCCCCAACGCCCCCAGAGATAAGCAACCACTAATCTACTTTTGGTCTCTATAGATTTGCCTACTCTAGAAAATTCATATAAATGGAATCTTATGTGATCTTTTGAGTCTGCTTCTTTCACTTAGCATACCTTTACAAGATTTATTCATGTTGTAGCATGCATTAGTACATCATTCCATTTTATGGCTGAATAGTATTCCATTATATGGATATTTTGTTTATCTATTCATGATGGACATTTGAGTTGTTTCCAACTTTTGGGTATTATGAATGATGCTATAAACATTTAAGTAAAAGTTTTTGTGTAGATATATGTTTTCATTTCTCTTGGACATAAACCTAGGACTTGGATTGCGGGTCAAATGTTAATTCTATATTTAATTTTTTGAGGAACTGCCAAATTGTTTTCCAATTTTATATTCCCACCAGCTGTGTATGAGGGTTTTGATTTCTACACATCTTCTCTAATACTTAGTAATAAGTATTAAGTATCTGACTTTTTTTTTTTTTGAGATGGAGTTTTGCTCTTGTTGCCCAGGCTGGAGTGCAATGGTGTGATCTTGGCTCACTGTGACCTCTGCCTCCAGGGTTCAAGTGATTCTCCTGCTTTAGCCTCCTGAGTAGCTGGGATTACAGGTGCCTGCCACCACGCCTGGCTAATTTTGTATTTTTAGTAGAGGTGGGGTTTCTCCATATTGTTCAGGCTGGTCTCGAACTCCCAACTTCAGGTCATCCGCCCGCCTCAGCCTCCCAAAATACTAGGATTACAGGTGTGAGCCACTGTGCCCGGTGTTTGTATTTTTTTTTTTTTTTTTTAGTAGAGGCGGGGTTTCACCGTGTTGGTCAGGCTGGTCTCGAACTCCTGACCTCAAGTGATTTACCCTCCTTGGCCTCCCAAAGTGCTGGGATTACAGGCATGAGCCACCACACCCGGTCAAGTCTTGTCCTTCTTCAGGACATTTGTTTCTAAATATTTTACCTTTTGGTGCTATTATAAATGGAATTGTTCTCTTAATTTCACTTTTGAATTGTTCATTGCAAGTGTATAAACATACAATTGAATTTTATGTATTGATTTTGTAACCTGCAACCTTGCTGAATTTGTTTATTATTTATAATAGTTTTTGTGAATTCCTTAGGATTTTTAATACGCAAGATCATGTTGTTATCTTGTATATTAATGATATATAAGATAATATATCTTTCCAATCTGGTTGTCTTTTATTTATTTTTCTTGCCTAATTGCCCTGACTAGAACCTCCAGTAGAGTGTAGAATGGAGGTGGTAAGAGCAGCCATCCATGTCTTGCTACTGATCTTATGGGGAAAATACCCGGTCTTTCACCATTGAGAATGATGTTAGCTGTGGGTTTTTCATGGATGCCTGTATCAAGTTGAGAGAGGTCTCTTTTGTTCTTTTTTTCCTTATTATTATTTTTTTATCATGAAAGGTATTGGATCTTTGTCTCCAAATGCTTTTTCTTCATCTATTGAGATAATCATGTCATTAAAAGAATTCTGTTGATATGATGTGTTGCATTAATTGATTTTCAGATATTAAACCAACCTTGCATTCCTGGAGTAAATCCCACTTGGTCGAGGTGTATAATTCATTATATATGGTACTGGGATTCAGCTTGCTAATGTTTTCTTTTAAAGCATAGTGGCCAGGCACGGTGGCTCACGCCTGTAATCCCAGCACTTTGGTAGGCCGAGGCGGGCGGATTATGAGGTCAGGAGATCAAGACCATCCTGGCTAACATGGTGAAACCCCATCTCTACTAAAAATACAAAAAATTAGCCAGGCATGGTGGCAGGCGCCTGTAGTCCCAGCTACTCAGGAGGCTGAGGTAGGAGAATGGCGTGAACCCGGGAGGCAGAGGTTGCAGTGCGCTGAGACTACGCCACTGCACTCCAGCCTGGGCGGCAGAGTGAGACTCTGTCTTAAAATAAAAAAACAGAAAAACGATAATATTGGGGAAAGAGAGCAATTAGTTTTATTTTTTTAATTTTTTATTATTTACTTCATTTTATCATTTTTTTTTGAGATGGAGTCTCGCTCTGTTGCCAGGCTGGAGTGCAGTGGCATGATCTTTGCTCACTGCAACCTCCGCCTCCTGGGTTCAAGTGATTCTCATGCCTCAGCCTCCCAAGTAGCTGGGATTATAGGCACGTGCCACCCCAACCACCTAATTTTTGTATTTTTAGTAGAGATGAGGTTTTACCATGTTTGCCAGGATGGTCTCGATCTCCTGGCCTCATGATCTGCCCACCTTGGCCTCCCAAAGTGCTGGGATTACGGGCATGAGCCACCGCACCCAACCTATTTTTTTTTTTTTTTTTTGAGATGGAGTCTCATTCACTGTCGCCCAGGCTGGAATGCAGTGTTGTGATCTCGGCTCACTGCAACCTCCACCTCCTGGGTTCAAGTGATTCCCCTGCCTCAGCCTCCCAAGCAGCTGGGATTACAGGTGCATGCCACCATGCCTGGCTAATTTTTGTATTTTTTGTAGAGACAGGGTTTCTCCATGTTGGCCAGGCTGGTCTCGAACTTCTGACCTCAAGTGATCTGTCCCCGCTCCTTGGCCTCCCAAGGTGCTGGGATTACAGGTGTGAGCCACCGTGTCTGGCCAAGAGCAATTACTTTTATAGGAATCTAGGTTCTGAGTCTGTGCTGGGAAAAAAAAAAAAGTCAGTATGGTCAATGGAGAAAGCTTGAAGAAAAATAATTCTTAAGTTTCCCTGTCCCTTAGTAAAGACAGTATATTCCTCAATGGAGAGTCATTTGAAATTTAATGTGGTATTGTCCTTCACTTAAGAAATAATGTGATTGATAATCTGACTGATCTAATGACAACCCAACATTAGCTTTTAGCTATTTTTCCAGCAGCAGCAGCAATGAGTTGTTCTCAGCCCCCATCACTAAGGCAGACCTATTTCCTGGGCACTGCAAATTGGTTCCACTGCCTCCACTTTGGAATACATTTTACTTATAGTAGTTGAGCTGGATTCATACCTGATAGTCCATAGCATTAAAAAATGCATGATATTGGATTGTCAAATAGAGAGGAGACATGGGAGTTAAGACCAAGGTTTTGACTACCAAACCCAGGACTTTTCCTTGATTCATTAGGCAATAGGCAACCATTAAATGTTTTGAGTCAGGGAATACCATGATTGAAGCTGTACTTTAAGAAGATTAAACTGGCATTAGTGCATTGGATATAAAAGATCAAATAAACAGCTGGGTGATGAGAATGAAAAGCAGCTTGCAGAAGTAAGGTAAATTCTGCAGGAGCTGGTAATTAGATTTGATGATCAAGGGAAAGGGAAGACTACTAGATTTTAAGACTGGGTAATTGAAACAATACTGGTGGTATTTTCTGAAGTCAGAGTTCGACTAGAAGGAAAGGTGATGGCTTTGGCCTTAGATGAGTTGAGATTTAACTAGGAAAGTTTGCCTGCAGACTTCCACAATCATATCCCATGCAAACAATTGGAAACAAAACAGCCAAAGCTAATAAGCATTTACAAGGAAAGGACACTGGGGCTATTTAATTTAGAAAGTGAAAAAAATTTAGCAAAAAAAGAGAAAGGTGAAAGGATCTATTTATTTCTCTGATGACCTAGTTCCTAGCCTTTAACTCAGCATACTGACCTACCCGTGACACTATATGCCAGGTGAAGCAAGCAAAGCTTGTTTTGGGAGAAGTGCCCCAAGCACACACTGTCCTTTTTGAGATGGAGTTTCACTCTTGTCACCCAGGCTGGAATGCAATGGTGCGATCTTGGCTCACTGCAACCTCTGCCTCCCAGGTTCAAGCGATTCTCCTGTCTCAGCCTCCCAAGTAGCTGGGATTAAAGGCGCCTGCCACCATGCCTGCCTGGATCATTTTGTATTTTTAGTAGAGATAAGGGTTCACCATGTTGGCCACGCTGGCCTTGAACTCTTGACCTCAGGTGATCCACCCGCCTTGGTCTCCAAAGTGCTGGGATTACAGGCGTGAGCCACCAGGCGCCCAGCCCACACCATCCATTTTTACCCCATTGATCCTCATTTTCATCTCCCTGCTCCTGGATAGCTGGTTCCATATTCCAGCTTTCCATATTGCTTTTGATCTGCATTGTGGTCTCTTCTGGCTATTGGATACCTCTTTCCATGGGCTCTTAGAATGCTCAGATTTCAGCAATTGCATAGTTTCTAGCAGAAGACTTCCTCTGCCAGTCCAGCCCCTCAAAACCCTCCTGCTCAGATTGGCCCCAGAATCTCTGCCAGGAGATGGAGATTGGGGCAGTTTATCTTAATTTGATTAGCAGGTTTAGCTTCTGCAAAGCACATTCTTACAAGGAATATTTGAGAATATGTAGTCATAATGTAACAGCTTGCAGTTCTCTTTCTTATTCTATAACTGATTGAAAATTCTAATAAGAAATATGTGTACCTTGATGGCAATGTTGAAACTCAGTTGTTTAGAAAGATGGACTCCCCTATATTTAGCTGAAAAATCAGGGTTTGAGGCTTTTAGTTCCCTCTGAAACCATGAGGACTTAGCCCTTGAGATCCAGTTTAATTCTAACATGATTTAGAAGTCTGTTTCATTTCCCTGATGTTGAGTCACCAGGCTGGATTAATTTTCCAGGGTGTTGTGCTAATTATAGGTTAGTGGAGGAATGGGCTAAACCAAAATGGCAACAAGCGAAAAAGTAGCAGGTTACTCTGAGTGCTGCTGGAGTGTAAAGCTATTTATAACATCACAATTGAATGGCTACTATTAATTAATAAGCATCGCAGTGACCTTCAATTTTCAAAGACGTTCACCATCATTTTCTAGTTAATCTTTCCCATCCATTACTGCATTCGTTTTATATGAAGGGCAGAGCTGATGAATTACTTGCCTGAAGTCATGTCTGTGGTTAAGCCAAAATTACACTTTAAACAGATGAATAATAATAAAAATAATATATTTGTGGAGTGTTTTTCAATTTTCAAAGGATCTTTTCCTTCGTTATTTTATGACTCTTTATTCTTCATGCTTACTAAGCATCCCTATGAAGGTTTTCTGCTGGTTAGCTCAGGATAGCAGAAGAGAGGAGGGTTCAGTTTATGGGTATCTTGGTTAAATTTGAACTGAATAGGAACATAAGAAACACAACATTCAGGAGTTTAGAGGTCTGAGTTGTATGATCTTTGTTCCTCATCACCTTTTTTTGTTAGGTTTTCTTGGCCTTTGAGGACCCATAGAGCAAACATTCAGTCACATTAAGTCTTTGTTTTTCAAGGCTTTGATTTTGTTCCATTCAAACCTAAAATGTATGAATCCGCAGAATTTGATGTCAAAAGAAGCCTCAATTTAAGAAAGTTTGGTTAATCCAAAGATTACTTACATTAGAATACTGGAATACAATCTCCAAATAGCTTAGCTGATCCTGGTGTCTGCTCTGAACCTTCATGCTGTATACCATTTCTGCTCCCTTTTTCTCACTCAACACCTGGGCTTTTCTTGACCCTTATAGACCCAGGATGTCCATACAGTACAGTTGATCCTCCCAGAACCTTCTATACTCCCACAAGCAAAGAAACACATAGTTGCATGGATGCTTAAAAGGTCATAGAGTCTAACATTGTCATCTTACAAATAAAGGAACTGAGGCTCAGGGAGTAGAAGTGACTTTTCCAAGTCTTATAGTAATTGCCAGCGCTGGTGTAAAAGCTGTCAGACTTTTGCTCCTGTAGAAAAGGAACTGAAAGGCATCAGAAAGTCAAACTCTCACTGCAGCAATATTTACCGTAGCACAACTACTGAGTTAGCCACATATATCATAGAGCAGTTCCCAAGATGTTCACGGATGTTCTTTGACATAGGGTTTTGTGGTCATATTACTTTGTGTAGTTGGGAATTCATGATGCAGAGTTGAAGATTGGAAACTCTGGAAAGTCTCTTAGGAAGGATTTTGTTAAGCATTTCTCAAATCATTTCTTCGTTATTTTCTTCCCAAAGAAAATCTAGTAACAGCTCGTGTAATTAGTGTTCATTGGTGATAGTGACACTTTGATGAACAAATACATGGTGTCTGTTAAAGCAGATACCAAGCAGTCACAAGCAGGCTGAACTGTTGAGTTCTTTGTTGCAGGTTATTTTATCTTCACAACATCTTAGGATTAGGTATTACTATTCCTACTTTACAGATGGGCTTTGGACTTGTTGCATGTGACAGAAATTGAGCTCAAACTTGCTTCAAAGGAAAGGAGTGTTATTAGTTCCTGGAACTGAGAAGCTTGGAACATTGAAACCAACAACGTTCTTTCTCCTATCTGTGCTTCTGTCTTTGTCAAGTCTATTCATCCCTTTTACAGACAGATGTCCTCACAAGAATGAGGATATGGCTGTGCACAGCTTAGATTCACTCCGTAACACTGCAGCTAGAGACGAAAGGACTACTGCCAGCCCCACTTAACCAGATCCTGGAGAGGGACTCTGGCCAGCAAGGCCAGCCCCTCTGCTGTCTGTCTCTGTGGAGGAAAATGGGTACCATTGTTAACCGAAAGGGGTCCTGATCCAGACTCCAAGAGAGGGTTTGAGAACGAATTCAGGGTGAGTCCATAGAGTAAAGTGAAAGCAAGTTTATTAGGGAAATAAAGAAACAAAAGAATGGCTATTCCATAGGCAGAGCATCCCTGAGGGCTGCTGGTTGGCTATTTTTACTGTTATTTCTTGATTATATGCTAAACAAGGGGTGGATTATTCATGAGTTTCCTGGAAAAGGGAAGAACCCCAGAACTGAGGGTTCTACTCCCTTTCAGACCATATAGGGTAACTTCCAGATGTTGCCATGGCATTTGTAAACTGTCATGATGCTGGCGTGTGTCTTTTAGCATGCTAATGCATTATAATTAGCATATAATGAGCAATGAGGAATTTTGTCACCACTTTGGTTTTGGTGGGGTTTAGCTGTCTTCCCCTGCCCCCCACCCCCCCAATCCAGTTTTATCCGCAGGGTCTTTGTGATCTGTATCTTGTGCTGACCTCTTATCTTATCTTGTGACTTAAGAATGCCTAACCTCCTTGGAATGCAGCCCAGTAGGTCTCAGCCTTATTTTACCCAGCCCCTATTCAAGATGGAGTCGCTCTGGTTTGAATGCTTCTGACGCCGTGATTGGTTTAGACTCAATCTCACACTCTCTTTGTGGCATAGGAGATGTGTTTTCAGAAATCCAGAAAGGAGCTTAGACAAAACAGTAGTCTCAGGGAACATAGCTAGTTAAGTGATGGAACTGAGATTTGAAGTCAGATCTGTCTGACTCCAAAGTCCATGTTTTTTTTGTTTGTTTTCTCTGTGGTTTGTTGTTTCTATGATGTGGCTTCTGTCACCCTGACTCTCCTTTTGTCTTTTGTCCCTCACCACCTTCTGTAGTTTCCCAGTCCTCCTGACTCATACCAGGGAAGCCTCCTGTGTCCATATACAATGAAGGCTCAGGGACTTCTAACTCCTGGTGGACTGGCTGATTGAGCCCTGGAAGTGTACTTTCTCCTTCATTTCCCTCCTGACTCTCGCTGGGAGAGTTGTAGACTCCTGGGAAACACAGGTCTATGGCCTGCCTAAGAGAGGACCAGCCCACACCAAAGAAAGTGCCACTGCCTCCTCCTCCTCAGTGGATGCCACCAAGCCCCGAGGAGGACAACCTTTTCCTTAATCTCCTTGAAACCCAGGCAAACTTTGACAAAAGGAAAGGTGTTTCCAGTGTGTTGTTAACTGAACCTTGGTTGCTTGGCAGTATGCAGTTCTTGTCTAATTTACCCCAAGGAAATGTCTGTGTGATGTATTTTTAATTTGCTGAAGAAGGATAAGTGTTCAAACCTTTGTACATTTATGCTGAAATTAATTTTTCAAAGTCCACATAACTTCAGTGCTGTGGGATAGTCCTTAAGAACAGAAATTATGACCAACCATAATAAATGACACATTTTTGTGAAATGTCATCTCTCATAAAGTTGTTGTGAAACTTAAAGAGGATGAAGCTTGGAAACCACCCAGCACCATGCTTGGCATATGAGTTGCCTTTCCTCTTATTCCCTTTCTAGCTCTTGGGGTAATAGAAGCTACAAGACGTAAAATTCCTGTGTGTATGGGGTAGGAATAGCTTTGGCTGTAAATAACAGAAAACTCAACACAAGAGCATAAAGAAAGAAGATCGGCCAGGCCTGGTGTCTCACGCCTGTAATCCCAGCACTTTGGGAGGCTGAGGCGGGTGGATCACCTGAGGTCAGGAGTTTGAGACCAGCCTGGCCAACGTGGTGAAGCCCCGTCTCTGCTAAAAATACAGAATTTAGCCGGTGTGCTGATGTGCGACTATAATCCCAGTTACCAGGGAGACTGAGGCAGGAGAATTGCTTGAACTTGGGAGGAGGAGGGTGCAGTGAACTGAGATTGTACCACTGCACTCCAGCCTGGATGACAGATGACAGAGCAAGACTCTGTCTCAAAAAAAAAAAAAAAAATCTTTTTCCCTCACAAGTCTGATGTTGGAATCTGGAATCTGTGGGTTTGGTTTTAGTCTGGGAGCCCACTAAACCTATGGCTAATAGTTGTTCAATTCTCCTGGCCTTTTCTTCAGGCATATTGGTAAATAGAGGTAGCCAAGGGAGAAAATGGTCAAGAATGGGTCTTGGGTCATCTAACTTGTAATATTTGCTACACTGAAGCTTTCAGTGTAATTCTTAGCTGTTCTGCAAAGCTGGGGAGGGAGTTGGAGTTGGTGGTCAGTTAGCAAGAGTCAACTTTGCTTTCTCCCCTTTGTGTAACTAAAAGACCCAGTAGAGCACAGTCAGATCCCATCTGGAACATATAGGGGTGTGTTAAGCTGCACAGTCAGTAGGAAGCCATTTCATGGGAGCCAATTGTTAAATTTTTAGGAATTTTGTGAGCCAGCTGATAAACAGACATTATTAAAAGTTGAATTATAGGCTGGGTGCAGTGGCTCACGCCTGTAATCCCAGCACTTTTGGAGGCCGAGGGCGGCGGATCACCTGAGGTCAGGAGTTCGAGACCAGCCTGGCCAACATGGCGAAACCCCATCTCTACTAAGAATACAAAAATTAGCCGGGTGTGGTGGCACATGCCTGTAATCCCAGCTACTTGGGAGGCTGAGGCAGGAGAACGGTGTGAACCTGGGAGGCGGAGCTTGCAGGGAGCCAAGATTGCGCCACTGCACTCCAGCCTGGGCGACAGAACAAGACTGTCTCAAAAAAAAAAAAATTGAATTATATGAACTTATAATTAAATGAAGTGCATACAAAAAGATAATAAATACTCAAACACCATCACAAATAATACTCAAATGCTACATTTTACTATTAACTATGCTCTTGGGGATATTTATGTCTACTGTATCTGTATGGTATTTTTAAAATGTGTTACTGTGCATTTCTTCCCATCTCTAAGTTTAGTAGTAGTATGTTGATGGCTTCAAATTGGCCATGGGAGTATTTAAACCAAAAGAAATCAGCAAATGCCACAAATCTGTCAATTATTTATTTGAGAGAATTAGTTGCTGAACATTCACCAGCACACCACTGGGCTCAATCCTAAAAATCAGTAATTTGGAGACAGGATGGAAGTGCATGTACATTTGGGATAATTAAGTAGGAATTTCAAAACGATTTTCAGATCCTTGCCAGAGATAAAACACAAACAAGTGGTTTCTTGTGTTCGAAACTAATGCAATAAGAATGCGCTTCATAGGCTGCTTTCGTTTTGCAGGGATACAGAGAGAAGTGTCATTTCCTCAGCTCTTGGTACTTAAGAGTCATTCCCAAACAACAGTGTTCATTGTCACTATCATCCTTAATAAAAACTCACTGCACCTCTACTATGAGTGAGATTCTGAGCTTAACCAAGTGACATAAAAGATGACCTCTGTTTTCAAGGAGCTGATGATTAAACTAGAATATTCACAGAAAAAAATAAATGAGAGAAGTCTATTCTGAATGCTTCATACTTTCTCTTCATAGCACTTACCTTGATTTGTAAATATACACATACACACAAATATTTATATTTATATATTTGTGTATATATTATATCTATACACACACACATACATAGTGTATACTTGCGTAAATGTTTGTTTCATATTGTGTCTTCTATTAGCCCACAAGTTCCATTGGGGTGGCAGCTGCATCTCATTGTTCACAGCAGCGTCCTTGTATCTGCTCAGTGTCTGGCAGATAGTAGGTACTCAATTAATGTTTGTGGAATGTACATAAATAAAAGAAATGAACATTATGGACAATTGGAGCTATAAGAGATGAGAGGAAGGAACACTTAGCAATGACTGGAATGATTGGAAAGGCTTTAAGGAGGTGCTAGGACTTGAGTAGGACTTCGAAGGAAGGGTAAGGCATAAATTAGTTACATGACACATTCTACAGAAGATATGTAAGCCTGGAATGGAAAGTTTATTCCTTTTGTTGGAGTTGGAACAAACCCAGTGGAGCTTCTGGGTTAGGGTCACCAGGGTTATATTCAACTGAACTGTGGTATTACCTGGACTCGAAGGAGCTAGATGCAATTTGAGAAGCAAATGCAGATCAAGGCCCGGAAAGGAACTCAAGGTTGAGTGAAAAGAACGATATCCATTCAGAGATCTAAAGGACAATTTTGAGGTCGCACCTAAGAGACTAGGGAAGCAAAAAAATGCAGGATGGCAAGCAAGGCTGGAAGAGGCAGAGTTTTATTTAGCCTGTGCTCTTCTTCTTCTTTTTTGCCAAGTAAGTTTGGTTTATTAGAACATAACACACTTTAAGCTTGTTAGAAACTTACTTACACATAAAATAAACAGAGCTTAGAATGTTTTCGTTTTATTATTATTTTAAATTAGAGACGGGATCTTGCTATGCTTCCCAGACTGGTCTCAAACTTCTGGACTGAAGTGATCCTCCTGCCTTGGCTTCCTAAAGTGTTGGGATCATAGGCATCTGCCACCAGCCCCGACCTAGAATATTTTCTTTTCTTTCTTTTTTTTAAATTTTTTTGAGACAGAGTCTTACTCTGTCTCCCAGACTGGAGTGCAGTCTGGGTTCGAGCGATTCTCACCTCAGCCTCCGAAATAGATGGGCTTACAGGGATGTAAAAATTACCACGCCCTGCTAATTTTTGTACTTTTAGTAGAGACGGGGTTTCACCATGTTGGCCAGGGTGGTCTTGAACTCCTGGCCCCAAGTGATCTTTCCATCTCGGCCTCCCAAGGTGCTGGGATTATAGGTGTGAACCGCTGCACCCAGCCTAAAATATTTTCTTGATGGCTATTACAATAAGAAATAAAAATATAATAACTTTGTTTCCCCACTCTTTGTAGCCTCATTTCCCTCACTCCCTATTGGGCATTCAATATATAGTTCCAGATAGAATAAAATAAATCCTCAATACGAGATTAAGCTTAAAAGACTATTCAGGAAACCATTTTTTGAACAAAACTAAACCAGAACATGTTTCTCACAAATGCCAATTAAAGAAACAAGAAATAAAATCCCTATCATTATTAATATATTTAAATATAATGTGCATCTTGCCACAGGCTGCATTTTAGGATACTTATTTCAGATGTATTAGGGAAATTTTGGAAATACAAAAAAGATGAAAAATTAATGCTAAAGGAGTAATTATAAATCAAGACAGAAATGATATTATGGGCCAGGCGCAGGGACTCACGCCTGTAATCCCAGCACTTTGGGAGGCTGGGGCAGGCGGATCACCTGAGGTCAGGAGTTCAAGACCAGCCTGGCCAACATGGTGAAACCCTGTCTCTACTAAAAATACAAAATTAGCCAGAAGTGGTGGCACACGCCTGTCATCCCAGCTACTCGGGAGGCTGAGGCAGGAGAATCACTTGAACCCGGGAGGTGTAGGTTGCAGTGAGCTGAGATCATGCCATTGTACTCCAGCCTGGGCAAAAAGAGTGAAACTCCATCTCAAAAACAAACAAACAAAAATTATGGAAGCATTGTACACAAATCAAAGTGGGAAAATTGTTTTAGAAGTAGGTAAGTCAAGATAAGAAATATCAGAAAAAAAAAGCCCTTTCTTTTTTCAACCAAGATTTGCTAAAAGGTTTTTGTTGTCCAGTAATTCACATTGATCCACAAAGACAGCATTAAACAAAATAGGCTTAAACTGTAATATAAGATATTTAGGTTGCATAATACAAGATTTGTTTCAGTGAAGATTACTAACCAACAGAATTTTGGTATAATAAATATAAATGTCTTTTCATATATTTTTATTTTATTGAGCAAATGTAAGAGGGTTGATAATCTATCACATCTCTTCTATGCTTTTTGCTTCAGGGTATTTACAGATTTAACAGGGTTTTTTTCCTCTTGTTATTTATTCAATTATAATTAAAGACTTTACCTGCAGAAATAAGTCACATGAAATAACAATGGAAAATCTGAACAAAATTGATTACTTCCAAATATCATTTCACAAAACAACCATTCTGTCTTATGGTATATCCCAAATATATTAGGGAAAACAAGAATAAGATGATAATTCTTTATTTTCTTTCCTCTTACATCACAAAAAGTAAGCAAAAACAACAAATAAGAATCGCTACCAGGTGTGGTGGCTCATGCCTGTAATCCCAGCACTTTGGGAGGCCAAGGAGGGAGGATTGCTTGAACTCAGGAGTTGGAGATCAGCCTGGGCAACATAGCAAGAACTTGTCTCTACTAAGAAAATAAAAATGAAAAAATAAAAATAAAAAATCAGCTGGGCATGGTGACACATGCCTATAGTCCCAGCTATTTGGGATGTTGAGGTGGTAGGATCTCTTGAACCTGGGAGATCAAGGTTCCAGTGATCTGTGATCATGCCACTGCACTCCAGCCTGGGTGACAGAACGAGACCCTATCTCAAAAAAAAAAAAAAAAAAAAAAAAAAGAATTGCTAATGCAACCCATATTTTAAAGATTTATCCTGCATCTAGATGTCAAAGGAATAAAGGAGTGAACAAAAAGGGAACTATATTGATTCAGTGATTAAGGAATAAATGTTTTGTAGAAAACTTAAAGGTTTTCTTTTTTTTTTTTTGAGATGGAGTCTTGCTCTGTCGCCCAGGCTAGAGTGCAGTGGTACGATTTCGGCTCACTACAACCTCCGCCTCCTGGGTTCAAGCAATTTTCTGCGTCAGCCTCCTGAATAGCTGGGATTCCAGGCACCTGCCACCACACCCGGCTAAGTTTTGTATTTTTAGTAGAGATGGGGTTTCACCATCTTGGCCAGGCTGGTCTTGAACTTCTGACCACCTGCCTCGGCCTCCCAACGTGCTGGGATTATAGGCGTGAGCTACTGCGCCTGGCTGAAAACTTGAAGTATTTTTAGAAAAAGAGAAGAATTAAGTTTTCATAAAAGAAAATCTAAAACTAGAATGGGATAAAAGATTCCTAGGGCAGGTTGATAATATTCCAAGTGATGCTAAATACCTATTTATGGAAACAAATGGTTTTTTTCTTCTGTCGAGTTGCACCTATGCAAGACAGATGAGACAATGACTATGCACATTTACATTTTATGCTAAGACAAGGGAAGAATGAAAGCCTGGCTAGTTCTTGTACTTGTCTCTTTTTTAAAATATTAAGAAGAAAATGAAATGGAAAGAATGATTTAGAAAAGAAAAAAGGAGTATAGCTTGAGTACCATGAAGATGGCTCATTTAAGGAAGTGGTATAATGACAAGTTCAATAATTAAGATACTTTTCTTTTATTTCAGAGCCAACAAGAGGCAGTGTGCTCTAGAACAGCATTTCTTAAACATTTCTTAACCCCCTGGGGGTCATAAGAAGCCAATTCTCATTGAGCAGTTCTGGGGCAGGGCCTGATAGTCTGCATTTCTAGCAAGCTCCAAGGTAAAGCCATGCTTGCTGCTAGTCCAAGGCCAACACTTGGATCAGTAAAGCTGTAAAATTAATGTTAATCTAAGTCATAAAGAAGACAAATGAAAATGTCAGATAATTTTGTCCTAGGGAGAAGATTTAAAGCCCGGCTAATTTTTTGTATTTTTAGTAGAGACGGGGTTTCACCGTGTTAGCCAGGATGGTCTCGATCTCCTGACCTCGTGATCCGCCCGCCTCGGCCTCCCAAAGTGCTGGGATTACAGGCGTGAGCCACCGCGCCCGGCCGTACTCTTGATTTTTACATCCCATCGCCCTGCCCAGTTTTTCCCCCTCCTGCCTTTCCCATTTCATTGAATGGAATCTGTCTATTCTCCCTGGTACTCCTCATCCTTAATATTTCCCTTTCCTTCACCAGTCCTCCTTCCCACCAAGCCACAGCTAATCCAACAGCAAAACAAGTTCAATTAATTCTCTCTCTCTCTGTTTTTTTTTTTTTTGAGATGGAGTCTTGCTCTGTGGCCCAGGATGGAGTATAGTGGCAGGATCTCGGCTCACTGCAACCTCCACCTCCCAGGTTCAAGCGATTCTCCTGCCTCAGCCTCCCAAGTAGCTGTGCCACCATGCCCAGCTAATTTTTGTATTTTTAGTAGAGACAGGGTTTCACCATTTGGCCAGGCTGGTCTTGAACTACTGACCTCAGGTGATCTGCATGCCTCGGCCTCCCAAAATGCTGGGATTACAGGTGTGAGCCACTGCACCCGGCCCAAGTTCAATTAATTGTACCTCCACAATATATCTTGACTCCAATGACATCTCCTCTACTGACATATCTGTAATCCAGGATAACATCTGGACCACTCTGACTAGCTTTCTACCTAGTTTCTCAGCTGCCATTCTCACTCTTCTGTCTGTTCTCCACAAGAAACCAGAGTGATCTTTTAAAAATGTAAATTAGCCAATATCTCTCATGAACTTAGATGCAAAAATATTTAACAAAATATTAGCAACTTGAATCAAGCAATGTATAAAAAATTATATACCATGACCAAGTGGGATTTATTCCAGGGATACTGGGCTGCTTCAGTATTTGAAAATCAAATAATGTTATCCACAACATTAACAGACTAAAGAAGAAAATTCACATAATTATCTTGATTGATGAAGAAAAAAACATTTGACAAAATTCAATACCCATTCATGAAAATTTTCAAAAAAATAGAAGGAAATGAATCAACTTGACAAAGAGCATCTACAAAAAATCTACAGGTAATATTACGCTAAATGATGAAAGACTAAATGCTTTTCTTCTAAGATTAAGAAAAAAGTAAGGATGCCCACTCCTACTACTCTTACTCAACACAGTAGTGAAAACTCTAGCCAGCGCAAGGTAGAAGAAAAGCCAAAACATACAGATTGGAAAGGAAGAAATAATTTGCCCTGATTTGCAGACAACATGACTGTCCATGTAGACAACCCCCAAGGCATCTACTCCAGAACCCAAACAAAACAAAACAAAAATTCCTACACCTAGTAAGTTCAGTAAGGTCACAGGTTACAAGATGAACACACAAAAAAGTCTATATACTAACAAGGAATATGTGGAAACTGAAATTAAAAACACAATATCATTTATGATAGCTCCAAAGGAAATGAAATACCTAAGTATAAATTTAACAAAACAAGTACAAGATTCATATGCTAAAAATTACAAAACACTGATGAAAGAAATCAAAGATCTAAATAAAGGATAGTGATAACACTGAATGCTGTTAAGGATGTGAAAAAACTGGATCACCGAGAATACAATCCCAGTGGGAATGTAAAATGGTTCAGCCACTCTGGAAAATAGTTTAGCAGTTTCCTTTAAAACTA
Source organism: Homo sapiens (assembly GCF_000001405.40). Classification (NCBI taxonomy): domain Eukaryota; kingdom Metazoa; phylum Chordata; class Mammalia; order Primates; family Hominidae; genus Homo; species Homo sapiens. The sequence continues at coordinate 55,241,963 of NC_000001.11, forward strand.
AAAATTCGGCCAGTTGCAGTGGCTCATGCCTGTAATCCCAGGACTTTGGGAGGCCAAGGCAGGCGGATCACCTGAGTTCAGGTGTTCGAGACCAGCCTGGCCAACATGGCGAGACCCCATCTTTACTAAAAGTACAAAAATTAGCCAGGTGTGGTGGCAGGTGCCTGTAATCCCAGCTACTCAGGAGGCTGAGTAGGAGAATTACTTGAACCAGGGAGGCAGAGGTTGCAGTGAGCCGAGATGGTGCCACTGCACTCCAGTCTGGGGTACAAGAAGGAGACTCGATCTCAAAAAAAAAAAAAAAAAATTATAAATTCACTTAGCATACAATGTTGCAACTGTACCCTTGGATATTTATTCCAGAGAAATGAAAGTGTATACTCAATGTTCAAACCTGCGCATGAATGTTCATTTATTTATAAGCATTTATTTATAATTGCTAAAAAATGGAGACAACCTAGATGTCCTTCAGTGGATGAATAGTTATATTGTGGTACATCTTTACCACGAAATACTACTAAGCAATAAAATGGAAAGGACTATTTTCTTTTTTTTTGAGACAAGGTCTCATTCTGTCATTCAGGCTGGAATGCAGTGGCATGAACATGGCTTACTGCAGCCTCAACCTCCTGGGCTCAGGCCATCCTCCCACCCCAGCCTCCCAAGTAATTGGGACCTGCTGATTTTAAATTTTTTGTAGATACATGGTTTCCCCATGTTGCCCAGACTGGCCTTGAACTCCTGAGTTCAGGTGATCTGACCACCTCAGCCTCCCAAAGTGTTGGGATTACAGGTGTGAGCCGCTGCATCTGGCAAGGAAGGGCCTATTGATATAAGCGACTAGTTGGATAGATCTAAAGGGAATTCTGCTGAGTGAAAAAAGCCCATTTCGAAGGATTACATACTGTATGAGTCCATTTGTACAATATTCTTGAAATGTTGTAATTACAGAGATGGAAAGCAGATTAGTATTTTCCAGGAGTTAGGATTTTGTGGGGAGGGAGTAGGAGTGCTACAAAGGGTAATACCATGGAGCCTTGTGGTAATGGAACAGTTGTGCATTTTGATTGTGGTGGTGGCTACTGGAAGCTACACATGTTAAAAAATTGGCAAGAACTACACACACACACACACACACACACACACACACACACACGGGAGTACCTGTATTACTGGTGAAATCTGAATAAGCTCTGTGGATTGTAGCAACGTCAATTTCATGGTGTTTGTATTGTACTACAGTTACATAAGATGCTAACATTGGGGAGAAGGGGGAAGGGTATATGAAACCATTGGGTACATTTTTTTTGGCAACTCCCTGTGAATCTATAACTAAAAAGTTTAAAAATGTGAATCAGATTCTATGTGTTCTCTTACTTTAAGTCATTTCAAGGCTCCCCATTGCAAGTAGAAGAAAATCCAGGTTCCTTACCTTAGGTTACCTGCTCCCTGCCTAGCTCTCTCTGACCTCATCTCACTCCTCATCTTATTAACTGAGCTGAAGCACACAAATCTCCCTTCACAGACACAGTGCTCTTCATGCTCTGCTCCTTCCCACCTGGGAGATGCTTTACTTGCTGTTTCCTTCCTAAATAGCTCTTCGCATATCTCACTGCATGTCTTGTTATCATTCAGGCTCACCTCCAGGTCACCTCCTCAGAGAAGCTTCCCTGACCTCCTGTTGAAAGCATTCTGTTATTCTCTAGTGCATTTTCTTCCCAGCACTTGCCAATATCTGAATTTATCTTTGTTTATTTGTCTTCCTCTATTAGAAGGTAAACTCTAGGAGAACTGGGACCATGCTATCTTATTCATAGTATTATCTCCAGTGGTAGAAAGTGCCTGGTGCTGGATTTCAAGGGACAGCCTACACGCACACACCCACAGATGTGCACACACACATACACTAAAAAGCACTCCTCTTCCTCCCCTGGGTTCTGGACAATTTCAATAAATATAATAAAAGGGTAAAGACAGAAGTAAAAACATCACCTTTCTTACTAACAAGGGATAGTTTAGAAGTGTAGTTTAGACAATGCTTACTGGCGAATTAGGCAGCCTTACCCCATTGGGTCCCAGGCAGCTCTATAGTGAATTAATCCCTCCTTTACCAATGCCAGGAACATAGGTGCATGCTAAATATTCTGTGAATGACAGAGGGAAGGAACAAAGGCTGTGATGAATTTCTGAGTCTTCACTCATATCGTCTCCCAGAATAAGGCACAGAAGTGGGACTGCTGATTTAAAGATACAGGGCTCAGATGGAAAAGATGCTAAGGATGGTTGGAGGCACAGGTAGGAGGCAGTCTGCAGAGAGTCTCAATGCCAGGCCCAGACACTGAGAAGCTGTTTAAGTTGAAGTTGGGGGTGGTCATATATCTTTTTATCCACCTCAGTCTGCTCATTTACCTAGGTGCCGTTTTCATTATTTGGGGGAGGTGTGAGTGATCGCTGTTTCTATGAGTAGGGTCACTTTAGTACTCCTTGCTGGTACAGTATTAAGCAACCCATCAGCCTTAATAGAGTTTATGTCTGTATCACAACTCTCTTGTCTCAAAAATAATAAAAGCACACCTAACGGGTCTACTTGTCAGTGACTATAAGGTGCCATATTAATCAGAAGTGGAATTTTTTGAAAAAGATAACCCTTGAGTTACAAACCGTCCCCACAGCATTTCCTTTAATGAAAAACGGAAGTTTGGGGAGCCAAATAGATTGTCTGGAGCAGTCTGGCTACAGCTATGAATAAGAGACAAAAAAGTAGTTGTCAGCACCATCAGGGGAAAGAGAAAGAATGTGGGTTAGGCAGAATACAGGTTATACACAAGTATGAGGAATAAACGACACCCCTAATTCCAGCAGCCTTGAAAAAGAAAACATTTAAGAAAGAGGAAATGTTGTTTCTACTCTGAGCCACCACCACTAAATTATCTCATTGACCAAATATTGCTCAACACTTAGATCCAGCTTTTTTTTTTTTGAGATGGAGTCTTGCTCTGTCACCCAGGCTGGGCTGGAGTGCAATGGCACGATCTTGACTCACTACAACCTCTGCTTCCTGGGTTCAAGCGATTCTCCTGCCTCAGCCTCCAGAGCAGCTGGGATTACAGGTGCCTGCCACTGTGCCCAGCTAATTTTTGTATTTTTAGTAGAGATGGGGTTTCACCATGTTAGCCAGATTGGTCTTGAACTCCGGACCTCAGGTGATCCACTTGCCTCGGCCTCACAAAGGGCTGGGATTACAGGTGTGAGCCACCAAGCCTGGCCAGATCCACTTTTTCTTGATGGTTTCTCTATTGTTTCTCCAGGTATATATATATCTGGAGGTGTATATATACTTGGAGGGGTGTGTGTGTGTGTATATATAATTTCTTTTCTATTGTATCTCTCTGGTTTGACTTGTGCCCACTGGGCAAGGTTAAGCCCACCTGTATGCTCTGTCAAATGCTTCAGTGTTGTGTGTGTGTGTGTGTGTGTGTGTGTGTGTGTGTGTGAGAGAGAGAGAGAGAGAGAGAGAGAGATAGGGGCATGGGAGGATAGAGGTATCAGAGGTCTCTGTGTAAAAACCAGATCTACTTACTGTTCTGGAATTGTTTTACGATCCGAAGGCTGTTACAGGTCACTAATGGCTTGGTGTCTTAGCTTTTCACCTTGCTTTGCTGTGGAAGAAGAGACCCTGAGCACCAGGAACAGCATGAAATGCAGGAAAGGGGACAGTAAAAGCAGTTTTACTTACTTCAGGATTTTACTTAATGCCTATTTGTAGAAACCTACTCATTGAAATGAACATACCTCTCCACGTCAATCAGTGGTGCTCAAGATTGCAGGAAAAAAGTTCTCCACCAGTCAACATTTGAAAATGTCTTTTTTTTTTTTTTTGAGTTGAGGCTTCACTCTGTCGCTGAGGCTGGAGGGCAGTGGTGTAATCACAGCTTATTGTAGCTTTGACCTCTTGGGCCTCAGCCTCCCGAGTAGCTGGAACTACAGGCACATCACCATGACTGACTAATTTTTGTTTTAATTTTTTTTAGAGATAGGGATCTCTGCTATGTTGACTAGGCTGGTTTCTAACTCCTGCCCTCAAGCAATTCTGCCACCTCAGACTCCCAAGTAGCTAAGATCATAGGTGTGAGCTGCCACCCCGGCCTGAAAATGTCTTTCAGTCAGAAATTTACCCATATTTGTAAAAATACAGGAGCTGCACCGCATAACCCACAGAAAACTTTTGAGCTTTCTGAGTTTTTGAGACGGACTTTGGGAATCCACTTTTCTAAGTTAGAAAGAAAATGTAAGCGTGCCTGTTTGTTGCTTAAATGTATTCTCACATATTTATCATTGTTTCACTCATACTGCCATTTAACTTTTCAACTGTTTATCCCTTGGTCTCCTAATGAAAAGGGGGACAAGGAGGGTGTGTCAGTCAGGGTCCCTGCAGGAAGCAGGCACTACATTCAGATGGAGTTTGGAAAAGAATTGAACAAAGGCTACCTATTTACAGAGGTGAAGCCAGGTTAGAGAAACAGCTAAGGCTGAGGAGGCACCCAGGAGTAGCCACAGGGAGAAGTCTGCTGCCCATTGGCCTAAAGGGGCCTTGTGGGAGCTGGAGTCATGAAGGAGGAGCTGCCTGGATTGGCATCTCAGAGGGGTCTTAGAGGGAATACATTACCAGAACCCCTGTGCAGCAGCAGAGAGGGATCAGTGAAAAGATATTGACCTCACACTTCTCTAGCTCTTAATCTTCCACCAGTGCCTTCAGTAACCAAACCCAGCTGGAACCCAGAGGACAAGGGAGCCCAAGAGATATGGCCTGTAGCAGTTCACTCCTTGGGACATAGCGCAGGGTACAGAAGGGCCCTGAACAGAAGGTAACAACAGCTATCATGTCGTCACTCCCTGGTGGGGTGCCAAAAGGGGTGAATTTTGCCAATTATTATTGGTGCCCTTGATATTCCAGGTGAAAGGAAAACTGGACTTAGCAGATTCCCTATGGATAGAACCACTCAGGAGAGAAGGTAAAAGTGGATGAGAACTTTGTGATTGCTTTTTTCTCATAATGAGCATGACATCACCTAGACTTGGGCTATGCAAGGAATGAAAGAGGAAAAGAAGATCACACACTCTCAGACTGGTCTCCAGAGGCAGTAGGCAGCCCAGATTTGAAGTAACTGCCCCAGGTCTGGGACAATTTCTGGCCTGTTCCTGCCGGAATGTTGTTCCATTTTCCAAGGAATTCAGGCAAAGGTTGATTTAAGAAGTCTGGTTTCTTTGAGAAATTGTCTTGGCCAAAGAAGAGCTGACTTAGCTCACCAAGTCTTCCATCCACAGGGACGAGCTTTTGTGACATGGCATCCTCGGTCTGGATGTTCCTGGCAAAGCCTGATGTGCACATAGTACTTCTAAAATATATTGATCAGAAATCATATTGCTCAAGACAGGGATTATCTTGCCATCAGAGCTAGCTTTGTGGATGAATGTACAGAGGGGTGAGATTTGATGGAAGGTGAAAAGTACCTTCCAAACCCCAGTGTTCTTTTTCAGAGGCCTGTTTCTAACTTGTTTGTGTTGTTTATTCATTCATCATCTGATAAATATATTTAGAGTGCAATGTGTCAGGCAGAGCCATCATAGTTCAACTCTAGCACCCCGCAACTTGTGCAATGCCATGGCCCTGTTAGGCTCTGTACTTGACCCAAGTGACATAAGGAAAATATGGTCCTTACCCTCTTAAGAACGTAACTGGTTTGCATATGTTCACACTTGCCTTTTCTCCAATTAATTATAGAACACGCATAGTAGTGATTGAAAAATACAGAGTAACCATGTGCCCCTCTGCTTAAAATCACTCAATGGCTTCCTGCTGCCCAGAAGGTCAACAGCAAAATCTTTCACAAGGCCCATAGGCCCTGAGTGAAGAAGACAGATGATAGATCACAGTACAACATTGGAAGTCCTGCAATAGACACTAACCAAGTGTTGGTGCTCAGAGGATAGAGCCTGGGGCTGTCCTCTTGAAAGTCCCACACCATCTATTACTTGGAATAAGTTATCAAGTATCTAAACAAAAACAATATTTCCTGGGAGGTGGGTGGTTAACTTTACCTGATAACAATTTTCAGATCTATTTGATAGAAAATATTGAAGCTCTTTCTACCTATGTTTATGTGCCTCTTCAGCATTTAGGCACTTAAGCCTCGTACATCCTAAAGTGTTCTCCCTGGACCCCACTCCCCCCACTATTCATATCCCCCTTTTTCTCTGCATAGCAAAACTTCTCAAAAGAATTGTCTTCTTCCTGGGAGGTCATTTTCTCATGTCTGTCATTCCTCATCTTCCAGCTCACTTCATCCTTTTTAATGATACCGTCATGCAATCAAAATGATTCTCACTAAGGTTAATAATGGCCACCATGTTGTTAGAACAACTGGCAACTCTTCAATCCTCAGCTTGCTCAACTTGCAGCAACATTTGATACTATGGACACCAGCTCCTTCTCAAAACACTTGCTGCCCTTGGCATTTGTGAAACACATTCTCCTAGCTTTCCTCTTCTTTCTTTGGCTATTCCTTCTTAATATTGTTGGCTGGATTACCCTCCTCCATGTGATCTTCAAAGGTAATTCCCAAAAGCTTTTCCCCACTTCTCTTTCTCTTGTCCCTCTATCCTCTTTCCCTAACTGAACTTATCCCCACCCATGGCTTCAATGATCACCTATACAACAATAACACTAAAATTTTATTTCATTAGCCTGATCTTCTCTTTTGAGATTCAGATTCGCATATATTGACTTTTCTGTTCTAAAAGGCATCTCAAACTCAGCTTATTTAAAACCAAACTCATGATGTCCCATCTACCTCAAAACTGGCCTTTCTACAGTGAATAACTCCACCATCTATCGATAAGTGTGGCTTCATTCTTAACACCTTCTCTCCATTCTTCCCAAATACCAAGTTCTGTTTTTTAACCCAACTGTCTCTCCAGTCTGAACATATCTCTCCTCCTCCGCTGCCATCTCTTAAGTCTAAGCTACCATCACCTCTCCTTAGAACTATGACAATGGCCTGCTAATTAGTTTGCACATGTTCACACTTAACCTCTTCTCCAATTAATTCTCCATAGAACACACACAGTGATCATTGAAAAATACAGTGTAAACATGTCCCCCTCTGCTTAAAATCACTCAGTGGCTTCCTGCTGCCTGGAAGGTCAACAGCAAAATCTTTCACAAGGCCCGTAGGCCCTAAGGTGATCTAGGCCGTAAATGATCCAGCCCTGGGTCCCTGCTTCAGTCCCAGCTCTTTTCGTTCTTCTTCCTCTTGCTCAGCCACACTGGCTTTCTTTCAGTTGTTCCTACTTTTGTGCTCCTCCTGCTTTGGGACCTATGGAGTGCTAGTCCTTCTTCCTAGAAACCCACCTCCCCTCTTTTCACTAAATTACATAAACCAACTTTTAGATCTCAGATTACATGTTCCGTTCCCAGGGAGTCTTTCTTAAACTCTAGGGTAGATGAGGCCCATTTTCTTTCTTAGTTTTTTTAAATGTGTAATCATATGTTTCTATGGTTATTTGGTTAACGTTTGTCTTCTCTTCTATACTGTAATATTCATGATGTCTGAGTCCACTTCTGTTTTCCTCAGTATAGGATCCCTAGTTCTTAGTGTAGTACCAGGGACATAGTAGGCACTCAATCACTTTTGGAAGAAAGAAAGCCTAAAAAGAAGGGCCCAGAGGGAAAGTGACTGACGGTAGGTGGATTATGACCTTGGGAATTACTCAGGACAGATATAGACAATTTGGTGGATATGTCATGACAGTGGTAACCCTCAGGCAGAAGAGAACTGTGAGGGTGTGTCAGGGACAGAAGGCCAAGTCCACATGCACCATCTGTGCTTCTTCTGTAAGGCTGCACCACAGCGGGGGGCACACACACTAACCTGTGAGTCCGAAGACCTGCTTTCAAGGCCTGGATTTGATGTTAACTAGCTGTGTGTCCTTTCCCACTCATTCACAACTTCATCTGTAAAATAACAGGGTTGGATTATTATAGAGTCAGGGCTCTTAGTTGCAAAGAAACAAATATTGCTTCTGGACAATTGAAGCAGAAAATGAACTGATTGAAAGGATGCTGGCCAGCTTACAAGATTACCTAGAAGCCTGGAGGACCAGACCTAGAGGACAGGCAAAAGCAAGGAAGACTGTGCGGACAAGCCAGGGCCAGAATCTCAGGGAGGGACCAGACAGTGGTGAGGCCACTGTGGCCGCTTGACACGCCAAGTGTCACAGCCTGCACCTGTGCCCTGAGTGGGCACAGAGCACCCCTGTACTAAATTGGCTCTGCTGTCCTTGGAAACTGGATGTTGCTGGCTTTGCTGCTACCCTCGGAAAGAATTTGCCACTCTCCTTCCTTCTTTGGGTCACTAAATCCTGACTCACAAACCTGAGCAGGTGCACCTGACATTCTGAGCTAGGTCACACTTGAACCCTGGCTGCCAGGGGAAGTGGGAAAGCAGAGCTTTCCAGAGAAAGAGGCAGGCTCTGCCAGCCAGCTTCACTCCTGAGATGGAAAGTTCCCCAGTGTAGGAGCTGAAGGGTTCAGATTCTGGGTAGCTATGAACATCACATGTCCAGTACTAGGCCGTCTCCAAAGTCCCTCCAGCACTAACGTTTCCATGTTTCTGGGCACCACAATGAGAATTGGCACGGTCATCACATCAACATCCTTTCCTTTAAATCAGCAGGCTTTAAGAGCTACATCATCATCTCTTTGCCACAGACAACTATACTCTGTATTACAAATCCTTATTTTTAGGTACTTGGGAGACATACTCTGCATGCCCTTGCCTTTGTGTTTAACTGAGCCACTGGCACCAGGCTGTTTTTCCTGGCCCCACAGCCCTAAAAATAGGGCATTATTGAATAACCCAATAACCTGGTCAGAGATCTCTGCCTGCCCCAGGCCTGTGTGTGGATTCATATTTTCAGTGAGCAGATGCCCTTTCCATTAGATGATCTATTTTTAAACTTGCCAAATGTCAATTCTCTCTCAAGTGGCAATTCCCAGTCTCCAAGACTCGCTGGTTTGTTTGTTTGTTTTCCTGTCAGAATTTACTCTACAATGTACAAAACACATTTGTCATTCATTGTTCTTTTTGGACAGAAGTAACATTTTTTAATTCTTGCCTCTACTCTCTTCTTTTTTATTTGATTGAGAGCTAAGAGAACTGATGAAAAGGGATTCTGGAAGTGCAGGGTCCAGGATGTTGGAGTAATTTATGCGCCTTCTTTTAATTCAGTTTCCACCATATCTGCTTCCTTTTTTGGCATTTAAAGTAGCCAAGCTGCGGGAACAAAGCAAACTTTATAAAATCATTCAGTGTGAATAGCTGATTCCGGCTTAATTTGTTGCTACTCCAAGGTAACATAGAGGTGCGAATATAAAGTAATATGACTGATGCTTAAAAACCTCCAGACATCTGACACATCCAAGTGAATGCTGAACTCCTCAAAGAGTCCCCTTTGGATGACATTGTACTTGGTTTGAAAATATTCTCTTTTTGCTTAAGGCATTTTTGGAATATTTTTTCAGAATCATCTCCCCATGTGTGGATCAGACCCTCAAATGTCCTCAGTGGCTGAGGAGCATGGGGCGTTAGCTCAGGAGATGGTGCTGTCCTACTCTTTGGACATGGTGTAAGAGAGGCATAAGTGTGGTCATAGTGAAAAGGGTGTGAGCTTTGGAGTCAGATGATTTGGGTTCAAATCTTCTCTCTCCCACTTACAAGCTTGGCCATGCTGCTTAACATCTTGAGGCATCAGATTCTTTGTGTAAAATGAAGGAAGTTACATCTTCCTTGCAGGGTTGTCATGAAGGTTAAATGAATTAATGTGTATGGAGTTCTGACACCTGGTAAAAATGTAGAGTGTTAATACTGTTCTCTAATCCACTATTTATTTTTTTCTTCTTTTTTTTTTGAGACAAGGCCTCATTCTGTCACCGAAGCTGGAGTGCAGTGTTGTGATCACTGCTCACTGCAGCTTTGATCTTCCAGGCTCAAACCATCTCCGGCCTCAGACTCCCAAGTAGCTGGGACTACAGGTGTGCACAACCACGCCTGGCCAATTTTTTTTTTTTTGTAGAGATGGGGTCTCACCATGTTGTCCAGGCTGATCTCGAACTCCTGAGGTCAAGTGATCCAACCCGCCCTGGCCTCCCAAGGTGCTGGGATTACAGGTGTGAGCCACCCTACCCAGCCCTCAACTGTTCTTCCTAATACACTGTGTCCAGCCAAATGAAGTTGCTTTGCTCTTCCTGTGTGTTTAGTGATGCTCTTCCCTAAAGACAGTCCCCTCTTTAATGCCTTCTGTCTCACTTCTGTATGTCCCAAACCTATTTCTCCTTAAAGTCTGGCTCAAATAAAAATAATACTACTAATGAACAGAAAAGTTAAGCAATTTACCCAAGGTCTCACGACTCTTATGCCAGTAGTAGAGGCAGACTTTGGGCCCAGGCTGTCAGATACCAGTGTCTACACTCTACAATGTCCACACTACAACACTAGGCTATGCTACCTACTTGTGTAACTGCCTCTACAAATTCCACCATCTTCATGAAGCTTAGCAGATCTCTCTTAGAACACCCTCTTCTACCTTTGAATTCTATGTCCCCCACTTACAAAGCTTTTCTAATGAGACATGTATCTTTCCACATGATATTAGAATCATTTGGTTACTGGTCTCATCTCCCTGCTAAACTGGATGTTTAATAAGTGCTATTTATTTCATAACACTCTTCTTGATACCTTGCATAACCTATTGTGCTCAAGAATATTTATTCAGCATATTATTTTAAAATGCAAATCTGATTATGTCTCTCCTCTGTTTAAAATGTTCCATTTCCTTTAAGATAAAAACTGAAACTTTCAATGTAGCAAGAAGTTCCTGAGCAATGAGTTTCCCACCCTGCTAGTCTCACTTTACCATTGCCCCTAGCTCATTGCTGTCCAGCTATCAGTGGCTTTTTGTCCACTCTTCAAGCCACCAACCCCCCTCAGGACCTTCTCACCGGCTCTCCCTCTCCCTGGAAGGCTGGGTTCTCTTTCCCCACATTGACCTTGGCTCCCTCCTGTCATGACTGTTCTGATGACCTCCCCTTGTTACTTTGCCTCCAGGCACCACTGCCCTTCTCAGGAATGGATGTGTAACATTCTGGCCAGGTGTGACCAGTCCTGTGAGAGGGGACCCACCTGGGGGCCCTGGCTCTGCCCTCACTTTCCAAGTGGGAAATCCAGGCTGGCTGACACTTAGGGATCTGGGCCCGACCTCTGTAGGGGCCGCTGGGGCAACAAAGGCTGCTTGTCCAGTCCAGCTCACCCTGTCGTAGAGGAGGCGAGCTCTGACTCCATGCCAGAGATTGATCCTGACAGTGGCATTTTCTAAAGGGACTTGTACCCTTCGTCTCTCCTTGGCTCATATATTTTGGCTGCCAGCAGGCCTGACTCAAAGCCATCTTGGCAAAGAAAAATTTTTATAGCCTGGTTGGTTTAATTTTGTTTTCTCCCCACCTAATCCCGGGCAGAAATATCTCCAAACAGCTTTTATATTATCGGAGATAGGATGGGGGAACTATGCAGAGGAGGAAAGGGATCAAGACAAGGACATCTAAGTTGGAAATGGGTTATTTCTTTATTTAAAAATAATATATGCTGGGCTTGGTGGCTCACACCTGTAATCCCAGCAATTTGGGAGGCTGTGGCGGGATGGATTGCTTGAGCCCAGGAGTTTGAGACCAGCCTGGGCAACATAGTGAGACTCTGTCTCTATAAAAAATTAAAAAATATGTGTTAGTTTTATAATAGTTGGTAACATTTACTAAACATCTACTAGGTCCCGGGTATTGTACTGGGAATTTGTACATATGTTAGTTCATTTAATTTTCCTAATTATAGCCCTTTGAGTTAGGTCCTATTATTAGTCCCACTTCATAGATTAAAAGGTTGAGATTTTGGTAGGTTAAAAAACTTGCCCAAGCTTACTAAGTAGCACAGGTGGGCTTATAGCTGAAGATACGGGAATGCTTGCTGAATTTTCTGCTGTGGGAATGAGAATATCAAATTACATTATGGTTTTGAGGGCAGGGGTCCAGCCAAGAATGATCGTCAAAACAGCAGATTCCAGAAAGATTCAAGTGTGAACCCTGATATTCCCCAGGTGTCCACGTTATATTTTACTTAATAAAAAGTAATCACTGTAATCAGTAATGGATGGTTATTCTAGTTTACTAGGAAGCAGCCTGGTGCAAAGGAGAGAACATGAGCTTTGAAGTCATATAGACCTTGGTTTGAAACTGAACTCAGACTCTTCTTTTTGTTTGTTTGTTTATTTGTTTTTGAGACAGGGTCTCGCTCTGTTGCCCAGGCTGGAGTACAGTGGCATGATCTCGGCTCACTGCAACCTCCGCCTCCCAGGCTCAAGCGATTCTCCTGCCTCAGCCTCCTGAGTAGCTGGGATTACAGGCGCATGCCACTACCGCCTGGCTAATTTTTGTATTTTTAGTAGAGATGGGGTTTCACCATGTTGGCGAGGCTGGTCTTAAACTCCTAACCTCAAATGACCCACCCACCTCGGCCTCCCAATGTGCTGGGATTATTATTAGGTGTGAGCCACCAGGCCCGGCCTGAACTCAGACTCTTCTATCTGTGCAGCCCAGTACAATTTATGTAATATCACAGTGAGTCAGTTTTCTCATCTTTAAAATGGTACTGTGATTCATAACTTGTAGGGATGCAAAGATTAAGCTGGAAAACACAGCGAAGCTTCCTGCACTATGCCTGGCATGTAAACAGTGACCAATAAATGGTAGGGATGTTCCAATAACATTATTAGCCTCCCTCTAATATGTTATTGTTGGGAGATGATTCTACTATTAATATTTGCACTAAGGTATGCCATCTCTTGGAAGCCCTACTAAAAGAAAATGCCATAGATGGGAAACACATTAAACTATGATCAGTCTGAATTATTAAGTGTTTTTTTTTTTTGAGACGGAGTCTTGCTCTGTTGCCCAGGCTGGAGTGCAGTGGCATGATCTCGGTTCACTGCAATCTCCGCTTCCTGGGTTCGAGTGATTCTCCTGCCTTATCCTCCTGAGTAGCTGGGATTACAGATGCCTGCCACCATGCCCGGCTAATTTTTGTATTTTTAGTAAAGATGGGGTTTCGCCATGTTGGCCAGGCTGGTCTCGAACTCTCAACCTCAGGTGATCCGCCCGCCTTAGCCTCCCAAAGTGCTGGGGTTACAGGCATGAGCCACAGTGCCTAGGCATTAAGTCTTAATTAATAATTAAGCTACACAGATGGGCCTCAACTTACAATGGTTCAAGTTACGATTTTTTGACTTTATGATGGTGTGAAAGCCACATGCGTCTGGTAGAAACCATACTTCAGATATTGGATTTTGATCTTTTCCTGGGCTAGTGATACGAGGTAGGGTACTCTCTTGCAATGCCGGGCAGCAGAAGTGAGCCACAGCTCCCAGTCAGCCATGGAATCACAGGGGTAAAACAATACTTTACTGCATATGGTGTTGCCAACGTTTTTTGAATATTGTGTTTTCACATCTTATCATGTCTATAAAATACCCACCTGCAAACAGTATTTAACATTTATTATAAAATAGGCTTCGTGTTTGATGAGTTTGCCTAACTATAGGGTAATGTAAGTGTTCTGAGCATGTTTAAGGTAGGCCAGGCTAAGCTATGATGTTTGGTATGTGGGGTGTATTAAATCCATTTCAGTTTAGGATATTTTCAACTTAGGATGGGTTTATCTGGATGTAAGCTGAGCAGCATCTTTTTATTGTGCAAGCTTTCTGGAAAGTAAGATGGCAACTTACAGAAAAAATAAAAGGCCTTAAATTAGTAATAGTAACAACAGCTGCCTCCATTTAGTGACGGCCTATTATGGTTTCATGTCTTTTATTTTATTGTTAATCCTTGTAACTACCTTATGGGAATGATACTATTATCATTTGCTTTATGAGGTTTACGAAGAGATTAAGCAAATGTTTAAAGCCACCCGACAGTAAGTGGTGAAGTCAGGCCTCACTCCAATGTCTGTGTTTGCTTCATTAAGCCCTTCTGTTGTCAGGCCTGGCAGTCCCACTTTTGGGAAAATATCCTAAGCAAATAATTTGAAAAGAAAAGAAGGTCATTTGTCAAAACAAAACAAAAACCAGAAATATTTATAGCTCTGTAATGTTCATCACCCAGCCCTATGACCTCAAATTGGAAGGTGGAATGGCAAGCTCCCACACATTAACACAAGATGGCAAGCATCAAAAGACAAATGCATGAATTACATCGGTAGAGAACATCTGAAGCTACACTTAATAAAAAGGATGGGATCCAAAATAGCACCAAAAAGAATATGTATACACTTCTCAAAAGTTAGGTGAAATTGATGTCTGTATGCTAGTAAGAATCAGAAGTATTTATAGAGGTATGCAAATGATTAGTAGATGAAGCTTCCTTCCTTGCTGTTGTATTTTTGGGCAGAGCAGTTTAAATATTGTAGTCAATAAAAAAAGAAAAAGAAAAGAAGTATACCGAATCAAGTTTAAAAAAAGGAGATTTTTTTTTAAACTCTAGAATAAAGTGGTAAAACCAGCTTCTTTAAAACACTAAAACAAAAAGTAATTACTATCTTAAAGAGGGATTTATTTATTTACTTATTTATTTGAGATGAAGTGTTGCTCTGTCACCCAGGTTGGTGTGCGGTGGTGTGATCCTGGCTCACTGCAACCTCTGCCTCCCAGGTTCAAGCGATTCTCTTGCCTCAGCCTCGCAGTTAGCTGGGGCTACAGGCATGAGCCACCATGCTGGCCTAATTTTTTGTATTTTTAGTAGAGGCAGGGTTTCACCATGCTGGCCAGGCTGGTCTTGCACTCTTGAGCTCACTTGGGAGCATTGGCCTCCCAAAGTGCTGGGATTACAAGCATGAGCCACCGCACCTGACCGGCCAGGTTTATTTATTATAGTGTTCCTTTACTTAGAAGATGAGAGCTCTTAGGGGTGTACTAGGATAGCGATAGAGGGGCTCTAAATTTTCAGTATATTTCATAAAACATGATGGACATTATATACTTTAACTGCATATTTAAGCACCTTGGCAATAGTTTGATATAACAAAAGGATAGAAGGTCTTGGGCTCTGTTACCAGGTTACCTGGGTTTTTTTTTTTTTTTTTTGAAACAGAGTCTTTCTCTTTTGCCCAGGCTGGAGTGCAATAGCATGATCTCAGCTCAATGCAACCTCTGCCTCCAGGGTTGAAGTGATTCTCCTACCTCAGCCTCCTGAGTAGCTGGGATACGGGCCCCCCACCACCATGCCCGACTAAGTTTTGTATTTTTAGTAGATATGGGGTTTCACCATGTTGGCCAGGCTGGTCTCGAATTTCAGACCTCAGGTGATCTGCCCACCTCAGCCTCCCAAAGTACTGAGATTACAGGTGTGAGCCACCATGCCCAGCTACCTGGGTTTTAATTCTAGCTTGTTACCTAGTTGCACAGAAGGGAAGCTAAGCCCTTCTGTGGCCTTGTTTGTAAAATGGGGATAATAATAATGCCTACCTCAATGGATTGCTACCTAGCACATGATAAGGTTTCCATAAACATTAGCTACTATTAAGCCACAAAGCTGCATTGTTTTGACCTGGAATTATATCAGTTCAGCATGAATTTTATCTCAAGCAAATCAGAAGTATTGACAATTGTACAAGCTTCTGATTGCTAAAATATGGAGAAATAAATCAACCATGAGCCAATGCACTTTGATCAATAAAATCTTTGAAAATTATAGGAGAGAGGAAGAAGAGAGGGAAGGATAAATGACAGGGATCCTTGGTGATAAAATCTGAGGATGAATACACAAGATAGATATGTTTTGATAAGGACAAGAGGAGCAGGAGGCCTGGGCAGAGAACAGAAGTGAAAGCTGAAGCCATGACAAGCTTTTGCCAGAATCAGAGAGAGAGGGTCAATTTGTTGAAGTCTGGCTTCTCCTGAAGACAAATCATTGTCCTCCTGTACTCTTGGTGCTTTGGTTAGATCGCAACACCTGAACCCACACCAGGACTTGTAGGGGTGAAAATGTGTTTCAGAAAGCATCTATGCAACCTAGATGCCAGCTGGGGCTCCCCCTCCCTGGGAAGTCTGGTTAACCTCGACCTGAACCCAAACACCACAGCCTGTGACGTCACAAGTCCTCTTTGCAATTTCTCTCTTGCTCTGATCTCTTCCTCCACCTCACTGCTTTGTGCTCCCTGCCCCAAGTCAATTCTGAGGCAAAGTTCTGCCCTTCCACCAAGTTCTACAAAACCCACATGCACCAATTCTTTTGTGAGCTTAGTTTGCTGCTGAAGATGGCTGGGGCAGATGTTGCAGGTTGGGGGTCCCAGCCACAGAGCTTTCTGCCTTCTCCCAGTTCCATTTCCTCCATTTTTCTGGTCTCTTTCTCTTTCCTCCCTCTGGCCCCAACACAAGTGCCTCCCCTGCCTCACATAGGAGAGACATTCCAACCCAACCACTTAATGTATTTTGCCAACTAAGAGAGTTTACTCATCCTAAGGGGAAGTCTGTTTAAAGTGATTTTCCATTCACATAACAGGTGTTATTAGGCTAGACCAAAACATGTGACTATGTTTTATGCAAAAGAGTGCTTATAAATAATTTATAATTATTGGCTGGGCATGGTGGCTCATGCCTGGCCAACATGGTGAAACCCCGTCTCTAATAAAAACACAAAATTAGTCGGGTGTGGTGGCGTACCCCTGTAATCCCACCTACTCAGGAGGCTGAGGCAGGAGAATTGCTTGAACCTGGGAGATTTCAGAGGGCCGAGAATGCATCACTGCACTCCAGCCAGGGCAACAGAGTGAGTGAGACCCTGCCTCAAAAAAACACAAACAAACAAAAAACAAACAAAAAAAACTATTAAAAATATAAAAATGGTTATAAATAAACAGTGGCCTATCTGTGGAGTTTTGACAAAAGAGAACGCCGGTAGTGGCAAGGATCTAGGACTAAGAGTGAGACTATGGGGAGCCATTGAAGGATCTTAGTGTGTCTTCTGGGGAGGTCACTGTATGCCGGGCACATGACAGGGAGGCAAAAGTGGATGCAAGGAAACCACAGGCAGGAAACAAGAGGCTCAAGGATAAGGTTTGTTGGTGGCAGTGGAATGGAGGGATGGATTCAGAAGGTTGAGCTTATGGAAGTTAGTGGCCAAAGGATGTGGGAAGCTGGGGAAGGATTAAGAATTAGGGTGGCCCTTATCCTTATTGGCTTAGAAATTTACCAGTTGTAAAACTGAAAGTCATACATCCTGTGAGACCCCTCTGTCCTGAGCAAACCAGAATGGTTGATCTTTACTTAGGCTTATGACTTGAGAGAGTAGGGGGTTAGCAAAGCCATTCATCAAAAGGAAGAATATAGAAGAAAAAAGTTAGTGGAATGATAGGGTAGGAGGGGAGGTGGTGTTTGGTGATAATCGTCTTAAATAAAATGTGTTTGAGATGTCTGTGGGATATCCAAGTCATGACAATAGCATCATGGTCAGATAGAAGGACAAGGCAGGTGATACAGGCTTGATAATAATAAACCAACAAGCACAACCACCATCTAACAAAAATAGCCAAGATTACTGACTGCTTATTATAAGCCTGGTTCTGTTCTAAGTACTCTGCATTTTTTGGTCTCATTTGATACTCAGAGCAACTCTATAAGGTGGGAATTCTTATCTCCATTTTGCAGTTGAGGAAACTGAGACACAGAGATGATAAGAAACTTGTTTAAGGTCAAAAGTCAAACAGTTAGTCAGTGGAGGTGCTGGGGCAAACATCTCTGGCCAAAGATGTTCTTTGAAACATATTTTACGATAGCAAAATGTTAGACACATCTAAGTAGGAGGTAAATAGTTATATAAATTAGGATGCACCCAGAGAGGGATGAGTGAGCTCCATTTGTCCCCTGCTCTCACTCCGAGGGAAAGAAAGCCACTCTCCTCTTTCTATCTCCTGCAGAGGCTCCAGCTGTGCCAGTTTTGTTCTTTTCTGCCTATGCAGTGTCAGAAGGACAAGAAAGTGAGAGCAGAGATGAGGGGGAGCATTGAAGACGTTGGTTCTGATGCAGCTGTGGCATCTTGGGGAAGTGGAAGAGGGAAAAAGGGAAATTTTAAAAGACATATTCTTATTGCGTGAATCCCCTTCACAGCATTAGAAGATACAAACAAAGGTTTTAAGTTCTTTAGCTTTCTTTTTGCTGAGCCCAGTTTCTGTGATGGTGGCAGCACTCAGAGACAGGGCTGGGGGAACGGTTTTACCTGTACTGCCGCAGCATTGTCGCAGGTTTCCAGGGCAGCGGAGGCCCTAGAAACCATCTGAACAGGAAGGGCAAGGGGAGTCACCAGGAACTGAGAACTTACTATGTGCCAGGTGCTGGAATCCCACTCAAGCAGAGAGAAACCACAGCCTTGGCCTGCTGGGAGCTTCTGGCTTAGTTGGGGAAACAGATAGACATAAACAGTTGTACTATAATGCAGTAAATGAATAGGTGCTGGTCTACACAGCAGGATGCACAGGCAAGGAGGAGCTTCACTTAGGTGGCAGTGGAGGGGCATAGGTGGTCAAACAAGGCTTCCTGGAGGAAACAGCTACTGACCTAAGTCTTGAGAGAAGAGAGAAGACAGGAGAGGAAAGATATTCCAGAAAGAAGGACCTGTATGGGCAAAGGCGGTAAAGCAAGAAATAGCCTAGTGTGCCCTACCAGCCAGTTAATGTGCCCAGAAGAGCGAGCCTGAGCTGTGGAGTGGGCACTCCTGGGTCTGGGCAGGAAGTAGGGATTGGATAAAGAAGGGCCATGCCAGCCTGGTGCGGTGGCTCACACCTGTAATTCCAGCACCTTTAGGGGGCCAAGGCAGGTGGATCACCTGAGGTTAGGAGTTCAAGACCAGCCTGGCCAACACAGAGAAACCCCGTCTTTAATAAAAATACAAAAATTAGCTGGGCATGGTGGCACGCATCTATAATCCCAGCTACTTGGGAGGCTGAGGCGCTAGAATGGCTTGAACCTGGGAGGTGGAGGTTGCAGTGAGCTGAGACTGTGCCACTGCACTCCAGCCTAGGTGACAGAGGGAGACTCTGTCTAAAAAAAAAAAAAGGGCTACACCTAGGACCTTGGCTGGCATACTCTGAGCCAGCAGAGCCCCAGAAATTCTTTTAAGCAAGGGTGTAACTAGCCAGATTTTTATCTTAAATAAACCACCTCTGGAAGCCAGTGTGAGGAGAAAGACTCAACATGGGAAACCAGTTGGGGAGGCTGTGTGAAGTGGTGGAGAGAGAGTGGGGTCAAATTCTGGCTGGTCTGTTTCCTTGGACAGGTAACTCACCACCTCTGAGCGTCCATTTCCTTGTATCTAAAAAGGAGATAACCAAACCTACTCTGAAAGGTTTTGAAAGAACAATTATTAAGTGCTTGGCACAAAGTAGACACTTGAAAATGGGAGTTACTGCTATAGTTCAGGCAAGAGATGATGATACCAGAAATAAATCATATAATGCAGATGCAGAAGAGGGATTAGATTTGAGAGAAATTATGAAAGAAATTCTGCAGAGTTTTCAATGGGGAGGCAGTGACACATGGGGTGGGTAGGGGAGAGGGAGACATCTCATTAGAATCTATTACTGCTCTTTGGTTATTAGCAACAGAAAAACAGTTGTGGCTAAGTTCAGCAAAAATAAAGTTAGTGGACGCAAACAGCCTAGCTCTCAGAATCAAAGGAAAAGCTCATTAACCAGGCCTCAGAAAGGATGGAAATGGGGAGGCCCAGGGATCCAGGTTGTAGGAAGTAATGGGCAGTGTTAGGATGAACGTGCATCATTTGTGTTGTGTCCTCAGATCCCTTCACCCAACAGGCTAGCTGATCTTGAATGGATTTGCCCACACAAACCACAATAAAGTGAATATTGGAGAGAGATGGGTCCCCAGAAGAAAACCAGGTGCTATTGTTAGGAGAAAAGGGTAATAGGTATTGGGTAAAAGCAATCAGTATCTTGGATGTCATGTTCATCCTCACTGTCACAGCTATTGGCACAGCCCTACACACTGTTCCAGCACTGGCACCATTAGCCAAGAAAGGGAGATGTATGATGGATTCTGCGGTGAACTTGTTGAGTTTGATTTTCCATATGGACTTGTGATAAGTTGTAGAGTTTATAAGAACTCTAGGAGGGAGGTATAGAAGTGGAAGATTATCAGTTTACAAGGGTTGAGAATAGATGATATTGGCCAGGGATAACACCTAAGGAAAGAATATTGGATTGAGAATCAACCCTTGAAGAAATACCTACTAGGAAAAACATAAAAAATAAAAGAGAGAAAGAGAGAGAGAGAGTGGGAGAAAGAGAGAGAATATATTTTAGAAGCTGAGAAGAAATAGTTTGGTTTGTGAGCCAGGAGAAGACCCAGGAGAGAATGGAGGTGTAATTCCAAGAGGCAGGAATACCGTTAGGTGACGACTCATGCTGGTTTGCCTGGAACTGTCCCAGTTTTAGCACTGAAAGTCCCATGTCCCATGAACTCTGACAGTCCTGGGTAAACTGGGGTGGTTGGTTACCCTAGAGTCAGCAGTGTTGGGAGAGCCAGGAGCAATAGGGAGTGTAGTATGAGAGACAACCGTTGGAACCAGAAACTGGGAACACTAGCAGCTGAACTAGTGTTGCTATATTGGAGATAATGGGGGAATCAAAGGCAAAGAAAATTATGGGTAGACCCATGTTTTTCCCCTAGACCAGAATGGCCTGTAGTGGTAGTACTACTCTGCTTGGTTGGCCCTGAATAATTAAGTTTATCTTTCTAGGCCTCAGTTTCCCCATCTGTGAGATTATGTAATCACTATGGTATTCTCCAGCTCTAACCATGTATGACTGTGCAAACCCGTATTTCCCAGCCTCTTGGGCCTCTGGGTGAGGCACTTTCTGAATCTTCTATACTGGAGTTGCAGAGCCAGCATGAATCATTTTCTGCTCAGAAGGAGCCAGCCCTGGGGGAACAAGATGTGAGATTTCAGTTCATCAGGGCTAGGTGCCAAGTAATAGTTCCAGCTGCCATTGGCCAAGAGTTCACATGCAGGTTGCTCTGCCTCAGGGGTCTCAGTAAATATTAAATAACACACTGGATGACCCTGGACAAGCTACTGAAACAATTCACCAATAGGTTAACTCATCCGTCAAGAAAGTAAGTGGTTTCTGGCTGGGCGTGGTGGCTCACACCTGTAATCCCAGCACTTTGGGAGGCAGAGACGGGTGGATCACTTGAGGTCAGGAGTTCAAGACCAGCCTGGCCAACATGGTGAAACCTCATCTCTACTAAAAACACAAAATTAACCGGGCGTGGTGGCGTGCGCCTGTAGTCCCAGCTACTCAGAAGGCTGAGGCAGGAGAATTGCTTAAACCCGGGAGGCGGAGGTTACAGTGAGCCGAGATTGTGCCATTGCACTCCAGCCTGGGTGACAAGAGTGAAACTCCGTCTAAAAACGAAACAAAACAAAAAACAAAAAAACAAACAAAAAAAGAAAAGTAAGTGGTTTCATGCTCAGTGTGGCCAGGTGTGTGACACGGAATGATTGTGGGAACAAAGGTACAAACAGAAATATTTATTCCTAGAAAGGCCACTGCCTTAGGTTGCGTTCCCTAGAAGTAGAGCCAGAGACAGAGATTCCTGTTCAAGGGATTTATTGGGAGAATGCTCTCCGGAGAAAAGGAGAGAGGCAGGCAGCATGAGGCAGGGGAGGAAAGTAAGCCATAGTGTGGTCCAGCTTCGGTCTGCTCCCATGAGTGCTCTGGAGCACACATTGTGCACATTCATTAGTCTCACCTAGGGTAAGGGAGTGGGAGTAGGCCTTTTATACCCTGATGTCAATCAGTCATTGGCTGAGGTCCGTGGGCAGGTGAAGTGGGGGAGAAAGTGGGGTAGCCTCTCTCATGAGGGTGGTTTTGTTTTTGTTTTTGTTTTTGAGATGGAGTCTCACTTGTTGCCCAAGCTGGAGTGCAGTGGTGCAGTCTTGGCTCACTGCAACCTCTGCCTCCCAGGTTCAAGCCATGCTCGTGCCTCAGCCTCCCGAGTAACTAGGACTACAGGCATGTGCCACCACACCCAGCTAATTTTTGTATTTTTAGTAGAGACGGGGTTTTGCCATGTTGGTCAGGCTGGTCTCGAACTTCTGACCTCAGGTGATCCGCCTGTCTTGTCCTCCTAAAGTGCTGGTGAGGGTGGTCTTGTTTGGCCCAGGGCAATTCTATACAGAAGAGGGCAGCAGAATTTTATCAGCAATACTCATATTTGTTGGCTGGAAAAAAGAAGCATGAACAGGATCCACTAGAGCTATCCTATGAATAACAAATAGAGGTATCTTCAGGTTTGTAGTGGATGGGAAATCACATATAAGTAGATGAAAGCAAAACAAAAATAAATGGTGGTCCTACCATTCATGCAGATTTAAAAGCAATTTGAAGGGCATATATAATCAACTCATAAACATCACTCACCATTCCAGTGACAAACACTAGAACTGCTCTCACCTTTCCACACATATTTATTAAATTTCACATTGCCAACAAAGAATTCACATCTTAATATGTAAAGAGTTCCTACAAATTGATAAAATAAAAACTCTGATAGTTATGTAGGTGGCAGATTTTAACCAATTCAATGGATTTTAATCAATCCATTGAAGAGGAAATACAAATAGCTAACAGACATTAAAACAATCATTCAACTTTGCTGATAATCAAAGAAACACAAAGAAAGGAATATATTATACACTTTCACCTATGAAATTACAAATACTTTAAAATGAGAGCAGACAAAACTGGCAAGGGAAAGGAGAGATGGGTGCTCTCTACATAGTTGGCAGAAATATGGATTGGTCTTACTATTCTTGGAAAATAATTTTATAGTATGTTCATGGAATTTAGGAACATTTAAACTCTCTGATTGGTATTTTTACTCCCAAGAATTCATCCTAAAAAATAATGCAAATGTTTCACTATCATCACATAATGTGATTGAGAAGTTGCTATATGCTAGGCATTGTGCTAATTGCATTAATATGCATTATTTCATTTCATCCATAAGTTTCCTTATGAGGTATTTTCATGAAGTCTTTTTTTTTTTAACAGGAGAGGAAACTGAGACTTAAGGAAGTGAAGTAAGGTTATATTGTGAATAACTGAGGAAGCTGGATGATCTGACTCTAGTGTGTGGACCTTTAATAACTTTACTTACTTTATGTGCTCATTCATATATGAGTTCAATAAGAGTAAAAAAAAGCTAATCTTTAAACAAAATAATTAAATCAGGCAAACTGTTCCTTGCTCCATTGATCAGGGAGACTTGGCAGTGTTTGGATTTCTAATTAAATCAGGCAGTTTTAATTAGGGTTCCTAGGGCTTTCTCCTTGTCCTGTGGAAAGTTTTGTGACGAGTTTTACATGAGAATATAAAACAGTCCCAGGCTCCTTCATGCAAGCTGTGTTATCAGCCACTGAATTTGACACCTTTTTTGGGTTAGGGTATCTGTGAACCGACAGGGGTTTATCGCAACCCATTACTGAAGCAATCAATTGCATATACCTGTTTACTTGTCTATCTTTTCCCCCAAACTGAGAGCTGTATAATAGCGGGGATAGTGTCTGTCTAATTTATTAACCTTGAAAGGTGAGAATGGGTTATGGGAGGCATTCAGCGGTGTCTTCCAAACTCTCACATATGAAAAAGAAGACATTTCACAAGAATGGCCCTTACAATGGCATTGTTGGTATTTGCAAACAATTTGGAAGGACATTTGGGTTATTTGTCGTTTTTGATTATTACAAGTATAGCTGCTATAAACATTTGCGTATAACTTACATAAATGTAAATTTTCATTTCTCAGGAATAAATGCTCAGGAATGCTATTGTTGTTTTGTATAGTAGGTGGGTGTTTAACTTTTAAAGAAACCATTAAACTGTTTTTCAGAGTGGATGTACTCCTGTCTTACATTCTGATCAGCAATACGTGAGTGACTCGGTTTTTCTTTTCTTTCTTTCTTTCTTTTTTTTTTTTTGAGATGGAATTTCATTCTTGTTGCCCAGGCTGTAGTGCAATGGATGGCGCGATCTTGGCTCACCACAACCTCCGCCTCCCAGGTTCAAGCGATTCTCTCAGCCTCCCGAGTAGCTGGAATTACAAACATGAACCACCACGCCTGGCAGTTTGTTTATTTTGTTTATTTATTTATTTATTTAGACGGAGTCTCGTTCTGTCGCCAGGCTGCAGTGCAGTGGCGCGATCTCAGCTCACTGCAACCTCTGCCTGCCGGGCTCAAACGATTCTCCTGCCTCAGCCTCCCGAGTAGCTGGGATTACAGGCGCACGTCACCACGCCCGGCTAATTTTTGCATTTTTAGTAGAGATGGGGTTTCACCATGTTGGTCAGGATGGTCTCGATCTCTTGACTTCATTATCTCCCTGCCTGGGCCTCCCGAAGAGCTGGGATTACAGGCATAAGCCACCTTTCCCGGCTGAATTTTGTATTTTTAATAGAGACAGGGTTTCTCCATGTTGGCCAGGCTGGTCTCGAACACCTGACCTCAGATGATACGCCCGCCTTGGCTTCCCAAAGTGCTGGGAGTACAGGCGTGAGCCACCACATCCAGCCGACTCAGTTTTTCTTAATCATCAATAGTGTTTGGTGTTGTCACTATTTTTTAATTTAGCCATTCTGATAAGTGTGTAGTAATATCTCATTCTGGTTTTAATTTTCATCTCCTTACTGGCTGACAATATTAACCATCTTTTCATGTGCTTATTTATCATCTGTGTATCCTCCTTCGTGAAATGCCTCTACACGTCTTTTTTCCCATTTTCTAATTGGATTGTTTGTTTTTTAAGTTAAATTTTGAGTGATGTTTATATATTCTACCTACTTGTTTGATATGTGGTTTGCAAATATGTTTTTTCAGTCTCTAGTTTGTCTTTTCTCCTCTTAACAGGGTTTTTCATGGAGCAAAATTTTTTATATTGATGAAGTCCATTTTATCCATTTTTTATTTTATAGTTTTTTTTCTAAAAGTGTTATAGTCTTACATTAAAGTCCATAATCCATTTTGAGTTAATTTTTGTATAAGATGTCAGACTTAGGTTGAAGTTAACTTTCCCTCCTTCTGGGTATTCAGTTATTCCAGCATCATTTGTCGAAAAGGCTATTTCTCCATTGGATGGTTTTGCATTTGGGCATATTTGCATGGGTCTTTTATTAGTTCTCTATTCTGTTCCACTGATCTATGTAGATCACCACCAATTCCACCAATATCAATCTTGATTACTATAGCTATAGACTAAGTGTTGAAAGCAGGTGGTCTGATTCTTCTCATTTTTCTTCTTTTTCAAAATTGTTTTGGCTATTGTAGTTTCTTTGCTTTTTCATCTAAAATTTAGAATACACTTCTTTATATCTAAAAAAGTATTGCCAGAATTTAGAGAAGGATCACATTAAACTTATAGATCAATTTGGGGAGAATTGACATCTTCACTCTTTTGACTCTTTCAATCCATGAACACCATGCGTCCCTCATTTATTTAGATCTTTGATTTCTTTCATTTCGTAGTTTTTAGCATACCAGTCATACATATTTTGTTAGATTTACTTAAACATTTCATTGTTTTGAGTGGTTATAAATGATATTTTATTTTTAATTTGTTAGTTTGTACAAATACAATGATCATTGTATGTTTATCTTATATAAACTTTCTGTGTTCACTTATTAGTTCCAAGAGTTTTTAATTTTTTGGGTTTTTTTTTTGTAGATTCCTTGGGATTTCCTATGTGGACAATATGTCATCTGAAAATAGATAAAATTTTACTTCTTCTTTTTCTCTCTGAATGCCTATTAATTATTTTTCTTGCCTTACTGCATTTGCTGAAATTTCTAGCATTATGTTGAAGAAAGGCAGTAAGAGTAGTATCCTTGTCTTGATTCTGATCTTAGTGAGAAGGCATTCAATCTTTCAGCATTAAGCATAATGTCAGCTATAGGCTTTTGTAGACTTTCCTTATCGAGTTGATAAGTTTCTCTCTATTTCTATTTTTCTGAGAGTGTTTAGAAATCATGAATGCATATAGAATTTTGTCAAATGATTTTTTCATAGATTGATATAATCATGTGATTTTTCTTCTTTAGCCTGTTAATGCGGTGAATTGTTGAATATCAAACCAGTCTTGTATCCCTGGAATAAATGAGTTGGTCATTTTATATAATTCTTTTTTAAATGTTGCTGAATTCTATTTGCTAATATTTTGTTAACAACTTTTGCATTTATATTCATGAAGGATATTGGTCTGTGAATTTCTTTTCTTCTTTGTATTGTCTTTGGTTTTGCTATCAAGGTATTATTTAAGCTTCATAAAATGAAGTGGGAAATAGTCCCTTCTCTTCTGTTTTCTGGAATAGATTGTATAGAACTAGTGTTAATTCTTCTTTAACATTTGCTAGAATTATCTAATAAAAAGATCTGGGTCTGGAGATTTCTTTTTGGAGAGTTTTTAAATGATGAATTACATTTCACTAATAGTTATAGGGCTAAGCAAATAATTACTTCACATTGGGTAAGGTGAGGTACTTTGTACTTTTCAAAGAAGTGGTCCATTTAATCTAAGTTGTCAAATTTATGTGTGTAGTTCATAGTATTCCTTATTATGGGTTTGATATCTACAGGATCTGTAGTGATATTCCCTGCTTCATTCCCAATATTGGTAATTTATGTCTTCCCATTTTTTCTTTGCCAGTTTTGCTAGAGACTTGTCATTTTATTGCTCTTTCAAATAACTTGTCCTTTGTTTAACTGACTTTCTCTACTTTTTTTTGTTTTCAATTTCATTTATTTCTTTTTTTATCTTTATTGTTTTCTCCCTTCATTTGCTTTCTTTCCTTTTTTTTTATTTTTATTTTTTTCTTGAGATGGAGTCTCACTGTTTCCCAGGCTGGAGTGCAATGGCACGGTCTTGGCTCACTGCAACCTCTGCCTCCCAGGTGCAAGCAATTCTCCTGCCTCAGCCTCCCAAGTAGCTGGGACTACAGGTGTGTGCCACCACACGCAGCTAATTTTTGTATTTTTAGTAAAGATGGGGTTTCACCATGTTGGCCAGGCTGGTCTTGAACTCCTGACCTCGTGATCCGCTCGCCTTGGCCTCCCAAAGTCCTGGGATTACAGGCGTAAGCCATCACGCCTGGCCCTTCATTTGCTTTCTAGGTTCTCGAGGTGGCAGCTTAGATTGTTGATTTGAAACTTCTTTTTTCAAAATATGAATTTAGTGCTATAAATTTTCCTCTCAGTACTGCTATAGATATATTCCATAACTTTTTAATGTTATATTTTTTCTTTCAGTTTAATATATTTTAAAAATTTCCTTTGAGACTTCTTTTGTTGACCCATAGATTATTTATTTCCCTTTTTATCTTTACTGTTTTCTCCCTTCATTTGCTTTCTTTCTTTTTTTGATTTTTTAATTTTTATTTTATTTTTTTTTGAGACAGAGTCTCACTCTGTTGCCCAGGCTGGAGTGCAATGGCAAACTCTGCCTCCCAGGTTCAAGCAATTCTCCTGCCTCAGCCTCACAAGTAGCTGAGACTACAGGCACGTGCCACCACACCCAGGTAGCTCTTTTGTATTTTTGGTAGAGGTGGGGTTTCACCATGTTGGCCAGCCTCCCAAAGTGTTGGGATTACAGGTGTGAGCCACCAAAACCAGCCAGATTATTTAGACGTTATTTAGTGTGTTATTTAGTTTCTAAATGTTAAGAAATTTTCTCCTGATATTTCTGTTATTTTTTTCTAGTTTGAGTTTATTGTGGTTGGATAACACACTCTGTATGATTTTCAATTCTTTTAAATTTGTTGAGTTTTTTTTTTTATTGGCTTAGGATATGGTCTATCTTGATGTATGTTCCATGGGCTCCTGAAGATAATGTGTGTTCCGTTGCAGCTGTTGGGTGAAGCATTCTCTCTACATCATTCGGGTCCTGTTGGTTCATAGGGTTGTTGAGTTCTACATCCTTGCTGACTTTCTATCTAGTTGTTCTATCAATAGTTGAGAGAATGGTGTTAAAATCTCCAACTAAAATTGTGAATTTGTGTATTTCTTTTTTCAGTTCTATCAATTTTTACTTCACATATTTTGCAACTCTATTGTTTGGTACATATACATTTAGGATTGCAATGTTTTCTTGGTGGATTGGCTGTTTAATTATTATGTAACGCCCCTCTCTGTCTCCAGTAATTTTATTTTTTTTTCTGAAGTTCATGTTATCTGATATGAATATAGTTACATCTACTTTCTTTTGATTAATGTTTGCATGATGTTCCTTCCCCATCCTTTTACTTTTTATTTATTAATTTATTTTTCAAAAATTTTTTTGAGATAGGGTCATGCTCTGTTGCTCAGGCTGGAGTGCAGTCTCAACCCTCCAGGTTCAAGTGATCCACCCACCTTAGCCTCTCGAGTAGCTAGGATGACAGGTATGTGCCACCATGCACGGCTAATTTATTATTTTTTTAAATGTTTAGTAGAGATGAGGTCTTGCTATGTTGTCCAGGCAGGTCTTGAACTCCTGGTCTCAAGCAATCCTCCCACCTCAGCCTCCCAAAATGTTAGGATTACAGGCATGAGCCACTATGCCTGGCTTATCCTTTTACTTTTAATCTGTCATTTACTTTTGTTGTATTTGAAGTGAGTTTCTTACAGATAGCATGGACTTGGCTCGCGTTTTAAAATCCCCTATACCAATCTCTTTCCTTTTGATACAAACTCTTGCACTGTCACCCAGACTGGAGTGCAGTGGCAGAATCTAGACTCGTGGCAACCTCTGCCACCTGGGTTCAAGCAATTCTCATGCCTCAGCCTCCAGAGTAGCTGGGACTACAGATGTGCGCCACCATGTCTGGCTAATTTTTGTATTTTTAGTAGAGACAGGATTTCCCAATGTTGGCCAGGCTGGTGTCAAACTTCTGGCCTTAAGTGATCTGCCCACCTCGGCCTCCCAAAGTGCTGGAATTACAGATGTGAGCCACTGCGTCTGGCCCAATCTCTATCTTTTAATTGAGTACGTAGACCATTTACATTACATGTAATTACTGAGATGGTAAGTCAGCCACTTTACGTTTTGTTTTCTGTATGTACTCTGTTTTTCATTTCTTTGTTTTCTTTTCACTGCCTTTGTTGCTGTGGATTATTTAAATTTATTTTTAGACTTCTATTTTGATTTATTTATAGTGTTTTTGATTACATCTCTTTGTGTAGCTGTTTAATGATCTCTCTAGGTATTATATTATATGTACGTAACTTATCACAGTTTACTGGCGTAATCATTTCACCAATTTGAATGAAGAGACTTTTTTTGAGATGGAGTCTTGTTCTGTAGCCCAGGCTGGAGTGCAGTGGCATGATTTCGGCTCACTGCAATCTCTGCCTCCCAGGTTCAAGTGATTCTCCTGCCTCAGCTTCCTGAGTATCTGGGATTACAGGCATATGCCACCACACACAGCTAATTTTTGCATTTTTAACAGAGACAGGGTTTCACCATGTTGGCCAGGCTGGTTTCGAACTCCTGGCCTCAGGTGATCTGCCTGTCTCAGCCTCCCAAAGTGCTGGGATTATTAGTGGCCTTAGAAAAGGGACCCCAGAGAGCTGCCTTGTCTCTTCCATCATGGGAGGAGACAGTGAGAAGGTGCTGTTCTATGAACCAGGAGGTGGGCCCTCACCAGACATTGAATCTGGATACTTTGATGTTGAACTTCCCAGACTCTAGAACGGTGAGAAATAACTTTCTGTTGTTTATACGTCACCTAGCTTATGGTATTTTGTTATAGCGGCCTGAACAGACTAAGTCCCTGAGGCTCTTCTTTCTTTCTTTTCTTTTCTTTTTTTGGCTGTTCTTTTTTTGTTGCTCAGATGGTATAATTTCTATTGTTCTATCTCTCAGTTTACAGTTTATTGATCCTTTCCTCTGTGTGGTTCATTATGCTCTTGAACCCATTGATTGATTTTTATAATTTTGGTCATTATATATTTTACAAAATTAATTTTATTTTTTAGAAAAGTTTAGACTC
This sequence comes from Homo sapiens, assembly GCF_000001405.40. Taxonomy (NCBI): domain Eukaryota; kingdom Metazoa; phylum Chordata; class Mammalia; order Primates; family Hominidae; genus Homo; species Homo sapiens. Next base: position 55,272,153 of record NC_000001.11, read on the forward strand.
ACAGTGGCTGGGCGTGGTGGCTCACGCCTGTAATCCCAGCACTTTGGGAGGCCGAGGCAGGCAGATCACCTGAGGTCAAGAGTTCAAGACTAGCCTGACCAACATAGAGAAACCCCATCTCTACTAAAAATACAAATTAGCCAGGCGTGGTGCTGAATGTCTGTAATCCCAGCTACTTGGGAGGCTGAGGCAGGAGAATCGCTTGAACCTGGAAGGCGGAGGTTGCCGTGAGCCGAGATTGTGCCATTGCACTCCAGCCTGGGCAACAAAGCGAAACTCTTGTCTCAAAAAAAGAGAAAAGAAAAGTTTAGACTCACAGCAAAACTGAGTAGAAAATGCAGAGAGTTACCATATATTCTCTATCCCCATGCATCCACAGCACTGCCCCCCCACCCCACGTTGGCATCCTGCACCAGAGTGGTATATCTGTTAGAATCAATGAACTTACATTGACACATCATTATCATTCAAAGTTCATAATATATATTAGTGTTTACTCTTGGTGTAGTTATCATAGTTTTCAGCTATAACATTTCCGTGTGGTTCTTCACATCTTACCTTTCTTTGGCGAGACTTTCTATTTGTTTGCTGAGACTATTTTTTCACTTGTTTCAATTGCTTATTAAAACATTTTTTATAACGACTACTTTAAATCTTCAGCAGAATATTCTAACATCTCTGTCATCTTGGTGATTTGGCATTTACTGATTATGTTTTTCATTCAATTTGAGATCTTTTGGTTCTTGGTAAAGTGAGTGGTTTTTAATGGAAATCTGACATTTTGGGTATTATGAGATTCTGGATCTTATTTAAACTTTTTGTTTTAGCTGGCTTCCTCTGATACTGGTCTGCTGAGAAATGAGTAATAAGAAAGTGCTGTCTTATTACTGCCAGGAGGGTAATAGAGGTCACAGTTCCCTACCCAGCCTCTGTTGGTACTCAAAGGGCAAGGGCCTCCTTGTTACTACTGCGCAGAGGTGGGAGTGCTGGCCATCCACTAGGCCTCCACTGATACCTCCCTGGCTGGGAAGGATTGGAAGGCCTTGTTAGTGCTCCACATGTGGCCTCACTGACACCGTGTGGGGAGGGGAGCCTTTACCTGTTGGGAGGTGGCGACTCTATTTCCATTGACTGTTCCAGCGGGGAGATGAAAGGACACCTCATCACTGCTGGGTGGGGTTGGAAATTCAGGCTCCATGTGGTCTTTACTGATACCCTCATGTCAAGGGTACTTGCTACCACCTGGCAGGGGTGAAAGTCCCAGCTCCTTACTTGGCCCTCTTTGATACCATCCCAGTAGGGGTTTGGGGTGTCCCTTTTCAGGTTGGCAAAGGTAGAAATCTAGACTCCCGGCTCCACCTTTGCTGGCACACTGGGGGTAGGGCCACAGGTTTGTGTGTGTGTGTGTGTGTGTGTGTGTGTGTGTGTGTGTGTATGTGTGTGTGTGTGTGTTTCCTGTGGTGTTTGGCTAGAGTACAGTGGTTTTTACTTTTTTTTTTTTTTACTTATTTTATGTTTTAGTACTCACATCTTACACAAAAGTGATTTTTATTCAAAGGCTTTCTGTCTTTTTAGGCTGCTGCTCTCCTGGTCCTTCGGCTGGACAGAGCAGACTTCTGTTGGGGCTTTTCTGGTCTGCATCCATTGATGTTTCCATGTCAAGGGCTTCTTTAGCTCCAAGTCTGGAATACATGACGCAAAAAGAAAACCCAGAGAACTCATGATTGTGTTGTTTCTTAGTTCCTGAGGTCCCCAGCTGGTCTGCCTTCTTCACTCCACCTTTCAGAGTCTTTTAAAGTTTGCTTTATGTATACAATGTCAAGGTTTTTATTTGTATTTAGGAGAAATAAGGAAACGTATGTTTTCTTCATCTTCCCTGAAGTGAATGTTGTCCATATATACTTTTATAAAGGTTAAAACACTGGCTCTGAGTAATCTGAAAAGGCTACAGACTTTATGATTTCAACTATATGGCATTCTAGAAAACACAAAACTATGGAAACAGTACAAAGATCAGTGGTTTCTAGAGGCTGGGGGGAAGGTGGGATGAATAGGTGGAGCACAGGGATTTTAGGCTGGGAAAACTATTCTGTATGATATGACAATGGTGGATACTTGCCATTATACACCTGTACAAACCCATAAAATGTACAATACAATGAGTGAACCCTAATGTAAACTACAGACTTTGGGTAATAATGATGTATTTATGTTGTTTCATCATTCTACCAAATGTAACCCTGGTGGGGGACCTTGGGGTGGGGGTGGGCTGTGTGTGTGGTGGGGAAGAGCATGGGGGAGCTCCGTATTTTCTGCTCAATTTTGCTATAAATCTAAAACTGCTCTCAAAAAATAAAGTCTGTTAATTAAAACAATTGGGTCTATATGATGGTAAAATGTGTGCTCTTGCCTCCAGCTCACGACTCTCAGTGTGCCTGCATTCAACTGCCCACTTCTCAACCCCTTGGGTCTTAATTCTGCGAAACCCTGGCCACTTTGCCTAAGCCCGAGACTGCCCTGGCCTTACTCAAGTTTGATCTGCTGTCCCTGCTACCTCCCTCTTCTCCATGCCTTAGAAGCTCCTGAACTTGGCACCAGACGGACTTGAGCGACAACCTCTCTAAGCCTCATTTTCCCCATCTGTATGAAAGAAAATGCCACCAGATTATTGCTTAAGGTTCAGGGTGGTGCCAGACCCAGCGTAGCCTCCTATTGCTCTGGGAGGCTGACTCTGGGAAGGTGGTCCTTTCAGATGCCCCGTACAAGAAGTAAGGAGAGGGGGTGAGGAAAAGAGAGTGGAGCAGGACGACCACCGGGGACCCGCACACAGCAGCTGGGCTGGCCAGCACCCTTCCTGCCACTGACACACCTCAAGACATGTTTGTTTTCTGGGTCCTCCTCAGGGTCAGAGTGGGAGCAGGGAGCACGTGGGGCGGTGGGGGACAGATGTTGTTTTTCAAGTGACAAGCGCGACTCTGTTTCCGATTCTCACAGGCAACCTGAATGCCCATCACATCAGGCAGGGAGAGCTGCCCAGATCTGACACTAACCCCTTGTGGAAGTGCCTGGCGGGTCCGCGGGGTGAGGGGGGACCTCCTACAGGGCAACGAAGGCGGAATGAATTTAGTGCCTGTGAATGAAGCGGGATTGGCAGCCTTTGAAACAAACTCTGTCTTTGTTCCTGACCGTACCTCCCAGACCAGGGCAGTGCCAGCTTTCTTCACTCCATCCTGCCCACATTCTTTGGCCCAACTCAGCTGTGAGGACAGGCACAGAGGCTCCCATGTTTTAAGCCCTAGAAGGAATCAGTTAATCTGTGTCTCGGAGACCCACAAGCAGCCTGCGGCCTGCACGGGTGGAGTCTTAGAGCTGAGTTGCCAAGATAGCAGCTTTCACACACTTGTGACTGTAGCCTACAGTGAGAAATAAATTTTGCACTATGACCCAGTGACACACACCCATCCACCCACACACACCCATTCATGTACACGCTCACACACAATCTAAACATTTAAAAAATGAAAGAAATAGACTAGACAGTATAAGAATGCGGTAAAGATACTGTTTTGTGAAATGTGTGTATGTGTGTAACTCTGTGTGTGTGTTGAGTCACGCATGATAGAAAGTGTATTTCTGACTGTGGATTGTGGTAAAAAAAAAAATCAAAAGAAATTTGTCTGGATCATTGTTTCTCCAACTATATAGTAAATCACCAGACTAGAGATTGACAAAACACTTTACCATATTAAAGTCCCCGAAAATTCCCACAGCAAAGAGAATCTGTTGAACTTTGCTGATACCCCTACTTCCCCCCCAAATGCTAATATTACTATGTCATGGAACTAATATTTCATAGAACACAGTCCTGGAAGGAATTTGAAAAATTCTCTGGAATTTCCACAGGAGTTTTTAGCCACAGGGTAAGAGGGAGTCTGTTTCAACAAGTGAAGAGTTACTAAATCTGTTATATTGTTGGTTGCCATGTAAGTTTTTTTTTTAAGTCCTCCTGCTAAAAAATGTTTGAAACCTACACGTCTCATCCAGCTCTGTCATGTTATGATGGGGGAAGTGACTGGGCCAAGGTTATCCAGTGAGGTCATGGAGAACTGAGACTCAATTTTGCTGAGTTCTCAACTGTAAACCCCTGACTCCACCTCCAGGATCAGATAAATGCCCTGATGGAGGGAGGTTAGGGGCAAGATAATGTATATGAAATATATATATGAAACTTCTTTGAACAGGCAGAAATTGTATAATAAATCTAAAGAACATATATCTTTTTTCTAAGCCTCAGAAAGGAGATTCTGTAGTTCCAATCAGGAAGTTACCAACCCTATTGTATGGTAACTTAATGAAAACTTTTTCCTATTTTCCAATTCTAAAGAAAGTTGCTCATTGCTATATTAAAACAAATCCAAGAAGTAAGAATATTTAGGCATTACTCTTCTTCTAACTAAAGCCCTATTATTGTTTTCCCAGAAGAGACTTTGCCTATATTGCATTCAAACCAGCAAAAAAATGTCTATTCCTCATCCACAGAGGAATAGAAGTGAAAGTCGTTTTACACGCAATACTGTCTGTATCTAGCAATGCTCATTCAACTTTTGTTGAATGGACAAACGCTTGAACAGTGATTGCGTGTGTCACCGAAGCACTCTCTGTCCTTGGTCAGCCTGTTCAGTGCCTCAGGAGCAGATCTCTAGGGACTCTCAATGGCTGCCTTGCCTTTTGGCTTCTGGTTGAGTTTGGCCCAGGGAGCACTGGCAGGGACTCAGAGAGTGGGGAAGAGTGGGTTTGCGTATTAATTCCCCTGGCTGCTTCCCTCTACTGAAGATCACAGCTCCTGCCAGGTGGTGGGAAGCCACCCAGCCCGCCTTGTCCCTAGATTCCCATAACCACTCCCTTTGGCCTGGGGGTCACTGCCCCCACAGATACTGATTTAAGGTTTCTCTACATCCTGACTATACATTTGCAATTCCTTTGTTAACTCTCCCCAAGGTACCCCATTTGAGTAGGACCTTGACTGTTTGCTGGGGCCTTGACTTATACTCTGTTTTGTATTCATTTTCTCTTAATATTGCGTAATTTATTGCCTCCCCCTCTCCTGCCCCATTTAGTGTCTTGACACTTGCTAAGGTATAGAAGACTCATATTTCTCTCTTTTCTCTCCCTTTTGTTGAGAGGCAACCATGGAGATAGCAGGACTTCTTAACCCTGGGGTGCTTTAAAAAACTGAGGCCTGGGCCCCACCTGGAGATTCTGACTCACTGGGTCTGGGTGGGCCCCAGCATGTCTGTTAACAGCAACTCCCCAGGGAACAACTGATGAAGGGAGGGAGGCCTAGCTCTGCAATTTGTCTCTGTGAGACCATAGGCGAGTCCTTCTCCCTGGGCCTCCGTGCTCCACGTGTTGTGTGTGTGCGTGTGTGTGCGCCTGTGTGTGTGAGCATGTGTGTGTGAGATGATCTTCGCTCTCTGACTCTGGATCTTATATCGCAGTCCCTAATTCTGATCCCAGCGGCTGAGGCCAGGGTGAGAACTTGGGTTCTGACTGCATGCACCACTGCCCTCTTGTGGACATGCGCACAACTGTGACGGTGGCTGATGCGTTCTCCCGTCACCAATGTTAGGAATCAATAGTGCTTCAAGGGGTGATTTAGTCAAGCATAGCAAAGGCTGCGATTAATCACTCCCTGAAGATAGCCATCTCCTTTTTTTAACAGACTTTAGTGAAGACTTCATCCTGCGCATTCTTATTTTAAAAGTTGATTAATTTTTTTAGAATTAGCTTCCTATAGTAAGGGGATGGGGTGGAGTAATTGCTTTGTAGAATAACCATGATTAAAAATAAGGTGGAACATTCAGGAAAAAGTCAAAAAGACCATCAAGTAGTCCCTGGGAGAGAGCCGCATAGCAGAGTGGCTGGGAGTCCCAGGGATGAGGGAGCAAAGGTTCTGCAGCTGAGCTGCTCAGAATGTTTCCTCCCCTGCTCGCAGATACCCCTCCTGAACCTCTTCTAACCCACCACCCCTTGGAAATTTCCTCCTCTGGTGTCAGCCTCCTCTTGCCCCATCTTCTCTCAGTTCCTTTCTTCGAGCCCCTTCCTGGCCTCTGTGTTCTACCACACACATGCTCTTCTGTTTCCTTTTGTTCAACAGATTTCACTGGCCCATTCGCAGAAAAAATGGTAACAACCTGTTAGCTGTTTTCATCAATTTATGTGATGTATTGTGCATTAATTACTAGTATTCTCTATGTCATATTATTATTATTAGAGATGATGGAAGAGGAAGGGCATTGTATATTAATTATCAGTATATTTCATATATATATATGTATGTACGTGTATTTGTTTGAGACAAGGTCTTGCTTTGTTGCCCAACTGGAGTGCAGCAGCACTGCAGCCTTGAGCTCCTGGCCTTGAACTCCTGGCCTCAAGTGATCCTCCCACCTTGGACTCCCAAAGTGCTAGGATTACAGGCGTGAGTCACCATGCCCAACTAGGACTATATAATAATTATTTTGGGGGAAAGATATAAGAAAAAGGATAAATGTGTTTCTAAAATTGGATATAATTTTGAACATTTAAATTTACCTGAAACAGTTTTTGTGTCATATTTGTACAATTTTTTTTTTCTTTTGAGACAGATTTTCGCTCTTGTTGCCCAGGCTGGGGTGCAAATGGCGCAATCTCGGCTCACTGCAACCTCTGCCTCCCAGGTTCAAGCAATTCTCCTGCCTCAGCCTCCCAAGTAGCTGGGATTACAGGCACGGGCCACCATGCTGGCTAATTTTTTTGTATTTAGTAGAGATGGGGTTTCACCATGTTGGTCGGCTTGTCTATAACTCCTGACCTCAGGTGATCCACCCCGCCTCGGCCTCCCAAAGTGCTGGGATTATAGGCATGAGCCACTGCGCCCGGCCTTGTACAACTTTTAACAGTGATTTTGGGTTCCCCATGATCTCTCCTGCCGCCTCTGTGCTGCCATCATATGGGTTAATATGAATCCATTCAATAGTGTTTTTTCTTGAGCACCTACTCTGTGCCAAGCAGTGTTCTAGGTTCTGAGGATACAGAAGGGAACAAAATTATCTTTTCTCTCATAAAGCTCAGATTCTGATGAGAGGTGAATGTATACATGATCTGAGGGGATGGTTCTTAATTTATTTGCTTTAACAGTTCCTTCTGGAACTTTGGAAATAGGAACAAGCCACCGAGTACCCTTTTTTTTTCATCATCTCCAACATGTGATCTCTTTCTGATCAATTTCTGCAACTACTTTGCCATTTACTGGCAACTTTTTTTTTTTTTGAGGCAGTTTTGCTCTTTTGCACAGGCTGGCGTGCAGTGGTGTGATCTCAGCTCACTGCAACCTCCTCCTCTCCAGTTCAAGCAATTCTCCTGCCTCAGCTTCCTGAATAGCTGGGATTACAGGTGCGCCACAGTGCCCTGCTATTTTTTTTTTTTTTTGCATTTTTAGTAGAGATAGGGTTTTGTCATGTTGGTCTCGAACTCCTGACCTCAGGTGATCCGCCTGCCTCTGCCTCCCGAAGTGCTGGGATTACAGGCATGAGCCACTGTGCCTGGCCTGTTTGTTGGCAACTTCTGATGGCTGAGTTCAATTAACAATTCATAATTGGGTAACTTTTCTAGTAAAGCTGTACTTTGTTCTATTGCACTTTGTCAATGTTGCATTTTTTACATACTGAAGGTTTGTGGCAACCCTGCATCTAGCAAGTCTATTGGCACCATTTTCCCAACAGCAAGTGCTCACTTTGTGTGTCTGTGCCACATTTTGGTAATTCTTGCAAAATTTTAAACTTCTTTATTATCATTATATCTGTTATTATGATGATCTGTGATCAGTGATCTTTGATGTTACTGTTGTAATTGTTTTGGGGTGTCATGAACGGTGCCCACATAAGACGATAAACTTAATAGATAAATATTGTGTGTATTCTCACTGCTCCACTGACTGTTTCCCCATCTCTCTCTCTCTCTCCTTGGGCCTCCCTATTCCCTGAGACTCAATGATATTAAAATTAGGCCAATTGATAACCCTACAATGGCCTCTTAGTGTTCAAGTGAAAGAAAGAGTTGTGCATCTCTAACTTTAAATCTAAAGCTAGAAATGATAAAGCTTAGTGAGGAAGGCATCACGAAAGCCAACACAGGCTGAAAGCTAGGCCTCTTGTGCCAGTTAGCCACATTATGAATGCAAAGGAAAATTTATTGAAGGAAATTAAAAGTTCTGTGCCAGTGAATACATGAGTGATAAGAAAGCAAAAAAAAAAAAAAAAAAAAAGATAAACTTATTGCTGATATGGAAAAAGTTTTAGTGGTTTCAATAGAAGATCAAACCAGCCACAATATTCCCTTAAGCCAAAGCTTAATCCAGAGCAAGACCCTAACTCTCTTCCATTCTATGGAAGCTGAGAGAGGCAAGAAAGCTGCAGAAGAAAAGTTCAAAGCTATCAGAGGTTGCTTCATGAGGCTTAAGGAAAGAAGTCGTCTCCATAACATCAAAGTCGAAGGTGAAGCAGCAAGTGCTGATGGAGAAGTTGCAGCAAGTTATCCAGAAGATCTAGCTAAGATAATTGATGAAAGTGGCTACATCACACAACATGTTTTTAATGTGGACAAAATAGCCTTCTATTGGAAGAAGATACCATCTTTCATAGCTATACAGAAGAAGTCAATGCCTGGCTTCAAAGCTTCAAAGGGCAGCTGACTCTCGTTAGGGGCTAGTGCAGATGGTGACTCATTCTAAAGATCCTAGGCACCTTAAACATTCTGCTAAATCTGCAGTGCCTGTGCTTTGTACATGGAATAACAAAGCCTGGATGACAGCACATCTGTTAACGGCATGTTTTACTGAATATTTTAAGCCAACTTAGACCTACTACTCTGAAACAAAAACTCCTTTCAAAATATTACTGCTCATTCACAGTGCACTTGATCACCCAAGAGCTCTGATGAAGATGTACACAGAGATGAATATTGTTTTCATGCCTGCTAACACAAACACCCATTCTGCAGACCATGGATCAAGAAGTAATTTCAACTTTCAAGCCTTATTATTTAAGACATACGGATCAAGAAGTAATTTCAACTTTCAAGTCTTATTATTTAAGACATACATTTCATGAGGCTATAGATAGCTTTTTTTTTTCCTAATGGATCTGAGCAAAGTAAATAGAGAAACTTCCGGAAAGGATTCACCATTTTAGACGTCATTATGAACATTTGTGACTCATAGGAAGAGGTCAAAATATCAACCTTAACAGGAGTTTAGAAGAAGTTGAATCCAACCCTCATGGATGACTTTGAGGGGTTGAAGACTTCAGTGGATGAAGGAACTGCTGGTGTGGTGGAAATAACAAGAGAGCTAGAGGTGGAGCCTGAAGATGTGACTGAATTGCTGCAATCTCATGATAAAACTTGCAAGGATGAGGACTTACTTTTCTTATGGATAAGCAAAGAAAGATGTTTCTTGAGATGGAATCTACTCCTGGTAAAGATGCTGTGAACATTGTTTTAATGACAACAAAGGATCTACACTATTACATAAACTTAGTTGATAAAGCAGTGGCAGGGTTTGAGAGGACTGACTCTATTTTTTTTTTTTTTGAAAGACAGGGTCTGGAATTCCTGTGCTCAAGAGATCCTCCCACCTCAACCTCCCATGTAGCTGGGATTACATTTGCGTGCCACCATACCTGGCTGATGCCAATTTTGAAGGAAGTTTCCCTGTGGGTAAAGTACTATCAAACAGCATCATATGCAACAGAGAGGTCTTTTGTGAAAGGAAGAGTCGATCAATGTGGCAAACTTCATTGTTGTCTTATTTTAAGAAACTGCCCCAGCCACCCCAAGAACCTCCATCAGCAAAAAGATTACAAGTCACTAAAGGCTCCCATGATCATTAACATTTTTTAGCAATGAAATATTTTTAAATTAAGGTGTGTACATTGTTGTAGACATAATACTATTGCACACGTACTAGATTATAGTAACATAATTTTATATGCCCTGGGAAACTAAAAAATTCATGTGACTCACTTTATTGTGATATTCACTTTATTGCAGTGGCCTGGACCTGAACCTGCAATATCTCCAAGAGATGTCTGTAATTGAAGTGACAGTAAGAAGAGGGAAGGAATGCCACTTTCCTGTGTTGAGCTTGTTCTTATAGGGTCTCTTGTTCTTGTACAAAGCTGTGAGTCTAACCCATGCTGCACTGAGGCAGGATAGTATAGTGAGATGGAGACTCACAGATCTGGGTTCAAATTCTGGTTTTGCTACATATATATCTGCATGGGTTGGGGCAAATCACTTAAACTCTCCAAGGCTGATTCCCTGCAGGCTCCCACCCCTACCTCTTATAGAATGAAAAAGTGACACCAACCACCTAAGAAGCTTGGAGTAGTCAGTAAATGAGATTGTAGATGTATGCATGTGCGTTTGTGCATGTTTGTATTTATATAAGTGCTTAGTATAGTGCCTGGCACAAAGCTCAATAAACAGTAGCTATTGTTACTGAATATAATCAAGTGTTTCTTAATTTTCACATGTTATATGGACTTTTAGATTAATTCCACTGTCATCAGAGAACATATTGCAGATAGTTTGACAAGTGCTGAAACAAGGGAAATACAGGTTAATATGGGTGGAAATAACAGGAACACCTGACATTTAGGCAGGCTGCCTGCAGAATGATTGTAAGCATAAAACTGAAGGATAAGTGGGATATTCTGCCAGAGAAGGTGTGTAGGTAGGCGTGTGTGTGTTGGCCAGAGTAGTGGCTGAAGGACTTCAGCCTCATGGGGGAGGCCCATATGTGTAATTTAGTAGGTTCAGTGTATTTTAGTAAATGTTATGATGAAGGGAAGCTTGGGAATTTGGGGAGCACATCAAAGCCTAATGGATCTGCTTCATGAAGTTATGGGTATATAATGCTAAACAATATGTCCCAATGATTAAGCATGTGGATCTCAGACTTGGATTTGAATCCTCTTCTGCCTCTTAATAATCATTTTTCCTCGGACAAGACACTAACCTTCTCTAAGTCTCAGTTTTCTCATCTATACAATGGGGTTAAAAATCCCTGCCTTGTGCAATCAGTATGAAGTCATCTGAGATCATGTATGCCAAGCAATTAGCACAAGACAGGTATCAGGGCTCTGTTAGTGGGAATGGGTACGGGTTTTTACAACGTCACCTGGCCCACCATGGGAATGTCTGCTGCTACAGAACACCCAGGAAGCAGAAGGTGGAGAGGGAAGTAGACAAGAATATCCAGGAACCTTCCAGAAGGAGCCTATGGGCACAGCACACTGTGGCCATGGTAGACCCCATCAAGCTTGTGATTGCAGAAAAGCTGCATGTGTGGAGCATCAGTTTCAGAGGATTTGGACCCTTTTCCCAGCTCCGCATAGACTCATTCAATGAACTTGGACTTCCTGGGTCTCCATTTCCCTAAGTGAAAAATGCAAAGGGAATTTTCAAGGTAAATTGGATTCCTACCTCTCTCTCTCTCTCATGCATGGAGAATTAGATTAAGAAGAATTCAGAAGCTTTGTCCACATTCAATAGAATGGAGCATTCAGATGACTCTGGGGTTGGCAGTGAGTTGCAAGGGAACAGTAGCCATGGACTTCACATCTCTGGCTCATCAGTTGGCCCCTAACGCTTGCCGTGTGCTTATTTTGTATCAGATACCACGTTAAGTGCCTTACGTGAGTCACCTCATTTAACTCTCTTAGTAGCCCTATAAGGCAGGAACTATTATTATTCTAATTTTACAAATGAGGAATCTGTCACGGAGAGGTTAAGTAATTTGCCTTATGTCCCATAGTTGTTAGTTGTGGCCAATGTCTTTTCCAGCTCTTATAGTCTACCTAGATTGGAAGCTCTCTTTGAGGAGGAGCCTTATCATATTTATTTTTGAGTCCCCAAGGCCTAGAAGGCTTTCAGACTGTGTTTACTGCTTTGCTGAAGTCAGTGGTTTTAACTGTAAATCAAAGGTCCAAAACATAGAATCACTTGGTGAGCTTAGAAAGTGGCTCACGCAGACCAGGTGCAGTGGCTCATGCCTGTATTCCCAGCACTTTGGGAGGCCGAGGCAGTTGGATCACCTGAGGTCAGGAGTTCAAGACCAGCCTGGCCAACATGGTGAAACCCCATCTCTACTAAAAATACAAAATTAGCTGGGCGTGGTGGCAGGTGCCTGTAATCCCAGCTACTTGGGAGGTTGAGGCAGGAGAATCACTTGAACCTGGGAGGTGGAGGTTACAGTGAGCTGAGACCATGCCATTGCATGCCAACCTGGGTAACAAGAGTGAAACTCCATCTCAAAAAAAAAAAAAAAATGCAGTTCGCACGCCTGGGCTAGTCTCAGATCAGTTGTATCCCACGCTTTGTGTGTCTAATGGAGAACCATGGAGCTAAATATTCTGATTATTATTATTATTTTTTGAGACAGAACTTTGCTTTGTTGCCCAGGCTGGAGTGCAGTGGTGCAATCATAGCTCACTGCAGCCTCAAACTCTTGTGCTCAAGAGATCCTCCCACCTCAACCTCCCAAGTAGCTGGGACTACAGGCATGCACCATCATTTCCAGCTAATTTTTTGTTTTTAATTTTTAGAGACGGAGTCTTGCTATGTTGCCCAGGCTGGTCTCAAGCTCCTGGCCTCAAATGATCCTCCAACCTTGGCCTCCCAAAGGAGTGTTACAAGCGTGAACACCTGGACAATATTCTGATCCTTTACCAACTGCTAGCCCTTCTCCCCTCTTTCTGCTTCTTGGCACTGGGGGGTGCTGTTGGATAGTTTAAAAAGTAGTATTTCTTCCACTCCTGGTTTTTTTTTTTTTTTTTTTTTAAATTTGTCTTGTGTATTTCGTCTCAAAAACTTGGTGGAGAGTTGATGAAATGGACAACAGCCTGAACTAGCCTTCCTGTGGCTCTCTTCAGAATGTTAACCATTGGCGTTTAGGCAGGCAGATATAGAAAGTTTCTGGTGACTCTGCAGTTTAATTCCTTTTTCAGCCTTCCTCCAGGAGCAGTTTATCTTTGTTCAGGAGGACGATGTTTATAAGGAATTATGTGAGGTGTGGCAGGCTAAATAATGAACCTCCAAAGATGTTCATGTCCTAACCCCCACAAACCTGTGAATCTGTCACCTCACTTTGCAGGAGGGACCTTGCAGATGTGATTAAGGTAAGGATCTTGAGATAGGAAGATTATCCTGGTGGACCCTATGTAATCACAAGGGTGCTTAAATACTGGAAGGGGAAGGCAGAAGGTTAGGGTAAGAGAAGGAGAGTTGAGAATAAACGGAAGAGTCAGAGTCAGAGAGTTGTGAAAATGCCCCACTGCTGGCTTTGAAGATGGAAGAAGGGGCTGCCAGTCATGGAATTAAGGCAGCCTGTAGAGCTGGAAGTGGGTTTTCCTCTAGAACTTCCAAAAGGAAGGAGGCTCTGCTGATGCCTCAATTTTAGCCCAGTGAAACCCATTTTGGACTTCTGACCTACAGAATAGTAATATAGTAAATTCGCATTGTTTTAAGAGACTATGTGGTAATTTTAATTTTCATCTTTACAAAGATCCCCAAAATTACAAGAATAAAATTGTTACCCTCGATTTAACAAATGAGGAAAGAAAGACCTAGATTTTGAGTTACTTTCTCGGTGGCACTGAAAACTCAAGGCAGGGTGGTGACAAGGCCCCAGGTTTCCTGATTTCTGCTTTGTTCTCTTCACTAGGGCATAGAGGGCAACATGTCATAACAGGCAGAACTCCTTGGAAGTTGTCTAGCTCAGGGATGGTAAACAGGTTTTATTTGCTTCATGTGCCAACTCTGGACTATTGGTGGCACTGTACTGTGTCCTGCTTACCGGAAAAGGGTGCTGTGATTGATTAGCAATGTCTGCATGGGCTTTGGATGGGTAAGTCTCCCATGGCAACATGTGTGTCATGCATTTGCTGTACCTCAACTAATCCAACCCTCTCATTTAACCAACTAAGAATGGAATCCCAGAGAGGGGAATTGACTTATTCAAAATTATACAATGAACTAGAGACAGAGCTGGGATAATGGTTTTTCTCACTTACTGTCCAGCTCCCAGGGTCACCAATCAGATTTAAAGATTCCAACTTCCTTTTTCTTACCTTAGCAGGACTTCCATTGCTTAAATGGAAACCATTGAGGCAGCCTGGAACATTTATAACCATAGCCTTTCATCTCATCTATGATGCTGTGTAGTATTAAACAAGTTGACTGGTTTTTCTTTGTGCTTACAGATTAATCTGTTTCCACTAGATGTCTTCCCCTATCTCAAGGAGACTGGACAGTTCAAGCATTGTGAAGTTCCCTAACTAGATGTTGCCTAGGAAATGGCCGCCGAGAAAGTTGCAATGAAACACCTTGGCATTGAATGTATAGAGACCTTGACAGGCTGCTTGAGTTGGTAAATTGAGGTCTCTGTGTGTTTCCCTGAGAGGAAAAAAGAATGGCTAGATTTGCACTTTGCAAGAAATAAAAGAAGCGATCCTTTTACCTATGAGGTTATAAAACCCTGGCTTGATTTTGACATATGACTGGGCATTTCATATGGGCTTTTGGCCCTTTGTGGATGAGGCTGGGTTGCTCCCAGGTAATCATAAGCTCCGGGCCTTTTGGATTTGACGGAGGGCAGTGACTTAGGGTTGACACAAATTATTCCACTTGGCTCTTCAAGCCAACTGTAGCCTCCTTAGGCCCTAGGATGTATGAACGGTTTGTAAACTGTAAAGTGCCTTGCAAATGAGAAGTAGAACTCCCATTGTCTTAGCAACAACATAAATTACTTTTGCATTTTTCAGAGTGGGGACTAGGGGGAAAAATAGGAAGCTGTGGGAAATTTTGCTTATCAGTTACATGAATTCTTTTGCATCATTGAGTCAGTACACTGGGTTTTCCAGTAGAAAAGTTACAAACCACAAATGAAGAACCAAATCATAAAAAAATTAGTTTTTATGGCTTAGTATTACTATTGCCCTAAAACTTAACAGTTTATTTTTTCCTAACACTCCACAGCATTTCAGAGTTTACAAAGTCCTTTCACATATATCATCCTGTTGACTTTCTATAACAAGTAGAAAGGGGTATTTTCCCCCTCTCAGAGAAGAGGAAACAGAAGGCCAGAGAGGTTGAGTCACCGGTGGAAGGTCAGGTGTTGAGTCACTGGAGAGGTGGGGAATTGAACCAGGGTCTTCGGGTGTTGAATCCAGTAGTATTTCCATCCCATGGCTGTGGTCTTCCCAGGGTGAGTGTGGTTACTTGGTGTCTTGAGAGAGGAGTGGAGATCAGGGCCAGGGGAGAGATACACGTGGTTGGAGCAGCAATGTGGAACTCGGGTTGGGCTCACACTGGTGAGAGGCTGGGCAGGCAGGATTCTGGGGGCCAAGGACAGGGCACAGCCAAGAGTTTGGCTTGGCAGCAGCCACAATAGTTGGGTTATGGGCTACATAATGCGCTGAAGGCTTTGTACGAATAATCTCATTTAATCTGTGGCAAATGCTGTTATTTTTTAGGATGTGGAATCTGAGTCAGGTCAGAGAGGTTAAAGATCTTGCCTTAAGTCACACGGCTTAGTAAGGGATGGAGCCCAGATTAGAAACGTGGTATATTACACTTTGAAGCTTATGCCTCTGACTGCCACATGAAGCAGAACTGTGAGTCCATGAGCGTGGTACTGGGAAGTAGGCTTGTAAAAGCTGGGTGGGGCCAGCTGAGGAGGCTCTGAAATGCCAGACTGGGGAGCTTTGAGCATTGTCTTGTAGGCAGTGGGGAGCCACTGGCTGTGAAAGCAGAGCGGAGGTGTTCTCCTTCCTGAGTAAAACGGACGTTTCACTCAGAAGTCGAGTGGGCACGTGCGGTAGTTGCTGTGGCACCATCTCCATTGACATGCTGCTTCATCCCCTCTGCAGAGGGTGAGTCTCACTGTTTCCGCTATATTTTTCCAATTTCTTTTTAAAATAAAAGCCATTTCAGAGCCTCTTTTGGTCTCATAAATTCTGGAGCCATTCTTGCCGAGGGCTTAGTGAGGGTCCTGTAAGGATGCAGAGGGACAGCCGTGGGCCCCGCTGCGTTGTGCATGTGTCTCTGGCTGGCAGCTCCTATAAAGCTGTTCCCTGGGGAAAGCACTCTTTGCCATCCTCACTGACTTCATACGCCCCTAAATAATCCTTGTGGGTGTAAGTGCTCCCATGGGGCCTCTCGGGAGAAAAGAACGTTCCTGAAACCGAAACTGGGCTGACGTTCATGCATCTCAAGCTCCTCAGTCATGCTGACGAGGGGACCATTTCCTGCTTGCCCATCCAGGCGGTCATCACTGACGCTACAGGGGCCTGGACTAGACTCCTCACTGCTGGCACATCAGAGCAGAGGCGGCTTCTTGGGGCTCTGGGAACTCACCTGTACCTGTATCTGAGGAGTGACGTGTTAGGTGTGAAGTAAAGGAGCTGGAGTGACCTGGTCATCCTTCACTGTGATGTGTGGCTTTATGTCTGTGGCCCTTCTATCCTCATCAGTCATAGCAGAGCATCTCTGTATGTTGCTTTATACTTTATAAAGATTCTACACGCATACAAGCTCATTGAACACTCACACAGCAACCCTGGGAAGTAAAAATTACTATCTGTAATTTATAGGTCAGAGCACTGAGCCTCAGAGGACATCTCTTGGTGGCTTGGGACAAATTCAGTCTACTATCCTCTTTCTTTGCCCTACAAATGATTAATTGAGTGAAATGGGATTTTACTTTATTTATTGTAAGAATTGGCATCTTGCTCTGTTGCCCAGGCCGGAGTGCAGTGGTGCCCTCATAGCTCACTGTAGTTGCAAACTCCTGGGATCGCGGGATCTTCCTACCTCAGCCTCTTGAGTAGCTGGGACTACAGGCGCATCCCATAACACTCAGCTTAAAATGGGATTTTAAAGACTACCAAGCCAGGCATGAGGGGGAAAGCAGTGCTTAGAGACACTGCCAGTGTGCTGCCTTGCAGAAGGACTGTGCGTTGGGTGCCCGTCATTTGTTCCTCAGCACCATTCCCTTCCCTAACAGACTGCTTCCATGGGCTTCAGCAGCCTCTAACTTTTGAACAAGGCACAGGCAGGAAATTGGGGTAGGAGGGACAGAGGGCATTCTCCCAGCCAGAAGACCAGAGGTGGCTAAGTTCTAGGCAGCGCAGCTGCGGCTAACCCCAGGGCACTTCACTACCCTTGCTGGTTTCCTTAAAGTCTGCTCACATCTTTAAGAATAGTCCCTTTATTATAGATTTGAGTGTACTCCCTGCTTCCTGCTGGGAACTCACACAGCTCATTACACAGGTAGTGAACTAACTTAAAATGGTTCGTCACACGCAATAATGGGGGTATTGAATGTAAATGTCTGGTATTGATCTGTGAGTTGGAGAAGGTTGGGCTGTGTGTATGTGAGGCCAGGTCTCTCCTGGCTCTAGTTGGTAGACTTGAATCTTTTCCCGTTAGCCTCCTTTTCTTCTACTTCCTGCCCGGTGAGGAATTCTCCACATAGTAAAATTTCCAGGTAGTGAAATGTCCACTGTAAATGCTCTGGATTTGTAGCGAGTGACTCAGGGGCAAGGCAGAATTTATTCTGGAGCCAGCAGTGCCTGCTTCATGCCCCGTGTCCACTGGGGGCAGGGGAGGTGCCAGTGGTAGTTCCCAGGGTCCAGCAGTGGCAGCAGTGGCACCCTTACCAGATTGTGCGGGATCTAGCAAAGATTTAACTTAGAACCTGTGCCATTCTCTAAAAGAGATAATTTGTGAAGTGTATGTGGTGATTATCATAGCAAACCCTGGCCAAAGCAGAAAAACAAGAACATTCATGAAAACTCCCAGGTCTGAGGCAGCTCTGTTCTGATTTCCAGATCATACTAGGAATGATCTCCCTCTCTTCAAGGTAGTGGACAGTTAATGCCACAGCCCTATGTTCTGATCAGAACCTATCTTTTGTGTTTGCAGTAGATTGTTAAAAATGGTTCATGTATTTTCAGGGTTCTCCAAAGAAACAGAACTAATAGTGTGTATATATACACTACTTTATACAAACACAGACACAGACACATGCTTTTTAATATATATACACACACTGTTATATATATATATATATACACACATACACTATTATATATGTATATGTTTGTGTATGTGTATACACATATGCAGAGCAAGAGAGAGAACATGAGAGAGAAAGAGAGAGAGGTTTATTTTAATGAATTGGCTCCCATGATTGAGGGGCCTGGTAAGTCTAAAGCCTGGATGACTGCTCAATAGGCTGGCAATTCAATAGAGCTGATGTAGTCTTGAGTCCAAAATCTGTGCGACAGGCCAGCATGCTGGAAACCCAGGCAGAAACTCCACTGCTTCTTTGTTGCAGACTTGAGGTAGAATGGCTTCTTTTTCAGGAAATCTGTGTTTTTGCTCTTAAAGCCTTCAACTGATTGGATGAGGTCCACCCACATTATTGAGGGAAATTTGCTTCAATTAAAGTCAATTGATTATAAATATTAATCGCATCCACAAATACCTTCACCCCAACATCTAGACTTGTGTTTGACCACACCTGGGCCCCACAGCCTAGCCAAGAGAGCACATCAGGTTAACCATCCCAGCCCCAGTGGATCATTTCTCCTAGGTCCATGTCCTTCATGATGTGATCTTGCTTGCCCCTCCCAACAAAGGCTGAAGTTGATCTCTGTGTTCTCTTGAATCTAGTCTGCACTTGTTACTTGCTTTGGCCTGTTGTAGAATGCAGCAGAATTGACACTCTGAGATGAAGGAGCCTTTTAAGAAGACTTTGTTTTCAGTCAGAGGGAAACACATGTGCCATGGCAAGAAGAGACAGGCCATGGAGAAGAACATAGACCCTGCATGGAGCAGAGAGGAGTGGTTCTCACTAAGCCCTGCCAGAATTCCTGATCCTCAGAATGAAGTGCAAAGAAAATGGGTGTTGCTTTAAACCACTAAGGCTGGGGGTGGTTTATTATACAGCAATGGAAAACTGAAATGCTATTGCATTCCGTTTTAGTTGACACACTGGGCGACAGGGTTGGAGCCCATGAATTCACAAATACTGAACAAATATTTTTATAATAAATACTTTGTGCATCATTGCTTATTGGAAGGCGCTCACCCTTGGATCTGAGTTTGGACCTTGACCCTGTGGGTAATCTTTCTAAATGTCAGTTTCCAAATGGTGGAAAAAAACAGAATATCATGAGTATCAAAGGAGATAATGAATATAAAGCATGTGGGACATGTGAGTACCCGACAGATGGTGGCTATTAGTTTACTTTTATTACTGCAAAGAGGGCAGGGTCCTTGCTTTCAATACGACCACAATTTAGTAAGGAAGTATAATTAATTATTGGGCTGAATATGATAATTAAAAATCTAACCATAACACAGAGGATTGGAGAGGGAGAGAGGCATTCCTTCCAGGGAGTGGCTTCCTAAAGGAGGTGGCATTTGAACCAGGACTAGAAAAAGATTTTAGCAAGCTAGCATTCTAAATGACAGGCAGTCATAAATGGCAGCAAATCCTTTTTTTTTTTTTTTATTGAGACGGAATTTCACTGTTCTGCTCAAGCTGGAGTGAAGTGATGTGATCTTGGCTCACTGCAACCTCTGCCTCCTGGGTTCAAGGGATTCTCTTGCCTCAGCCTCCCGAGTAGCTGGGACTGCAGGCGCATGCCACCATGTACAGCTAATTTTTGTATTTTTAGTAGAGATGGGGTTTCACCATGTTGGCTAGGCTGGTCTTGAACTCCCGACCTCAAGCGATCCGCCTGGCAAAGTGCTGGGATTACAGGCATGAGCCACCGCACCTGGTCTGGCAGCAATTCTTGTACTTGAGGTTTTCTGTGTTATCCGATTTTATTCCTTGTTTGTCTCTGCAGCCTTTTCTTCTTAAAGTACAATACACACACAGATCAGAGCCGAGCAATACAAGTGGGAGGTGGCCAAGGGAAGGCAAAGTGCTCCCATATGGCCTCCCCCGAGGCTGGGCCTGTGGTGAGCAGGGGGCTCAGGATCTGTCCTGCATTTGCCCCAAAGTTTGCAGCCCCCAGTACCATTGGTCTGAGTGTTAACAGGGATTCACCATCTTGGATTTCAGAGCCACTAGGAGGGCTGGGCTCTAGCCAGATGCACCCAGCATTTTGCCTTCATAAATCCTTCTGGATCAGGCAGCATCTTGGATTAGATATAATCCAGCAGGGGTGGCAGTGGACGTGTCAGGCAGGGGCCTTGGCAATGGAATCTTCAGCCCTTCCTGAGTTACCCTTTCAATCTCCAGCTCCATTACAGTTTTTGTGACTTTGTTTAGTTACTTCACTTCTCTGTGCCCACTTTCCTTCTCTGTAAAATGAAGATAATTACACCTCTTTTCTAGGCCGCTGTGAGGAAGAGATGTAATACCATGTGGGGAGCGTCAAGCCCCATGCCTGGCATGCTGTGGGCCCTCAGCGTGTGCTCTTTCCTTTTCTCTTCCCCTCCCACCATCACTGCTTGGCTTCACTTCAAGCAATGCCTCTGCCCCTTGGCTTTCTCAGAAGTGCTGACTCCTTGGCTGCGGCTCACTCTTAGCAGCCTCTGTTGGTGGGAGGAGTGTGGGCCTCATAGTATGTGAAAAGATGGCAGGCTTTGAGGAAGAAGGACCTGAGTTCAAATCTTTTTTTCTTTTTAGAGACCGGGTCTTGCTCTGTAGCCTAGGCTGGAGTGTAGTGGTGAGATTATAGCTCACTGTATCCTTGAACTCCTGGGCTCAAGCCATCCTCTTGCTTCAGCCTTCTGAGTAACTGGGACTACAGGTGCATCCCACTAAGCTAATTTTTAATTTTTTTTGTAGAGATATGGGTCTCACTATGTTGCCTAGACTGGCCTCAAATTCCTGGCTTCAAGTGATCCTCCTGCCTTGCCCTCCCAAAGTGTTAGGATTACAGGTGTGAGCCACTGTGCCTGGTTCTGAGTTCAAATCTTGATGCAGTCATTCACTAACTGGGTGGCCTCAGAAAAATTACTTGCACTTGCTAAGCTTCTGTTTTCTTACTTGAAAAATGATATCTAAATATCTACTTTATGCAGTCCTTATGAGATGAGATGACTTAATGAATGAAACATCCCCAACCCAGTGCTTAATAAACATTTCACCCCTTCACTTAGGAGCATGTAGTACCCCATCATGTTCCAACTTGTATTTTGATCTACAATTCTGATTTCTATATGTATTTAGTAGACAATAACCAAATGGACTGAATTTAATGAGACCTCTAGAGTTTGTGGCTTCCGGTGACTTATCTGGAAGACGGAACACAGTATTGAGTGAAGTTTTCTGTTGGTCTGTCCTTGATGCCTGGTTGCCTTGGTTAACTGGAGCCAGTTCTCCCAGGTTAGATTCTAGGAGTGGTGTGGTCCAGGGAGGAGCTGGATTTGTGATCACTTCTTGCCAGTAGATTCTGCCCCAGGCCCTGGGGCTAGAGATAAATAAGAGAATTTCTGTCTCTCAGTAACTCAGAGTTTATCAGAAAAGACCAGCTAAACTAAATGCCCACAAGAGAAAGCAGGAAAGATCTGAAATCGACATCCTAACATCACAATTAAAAGAAGCAGACAAGCAAGGGCAAACAAATTCAAAAGCTAGCAGAAGACAAGAAATAACTAAGATCAGAGCAGAACCGAAGGAGATAGAGACAAAAAAGCCCTTCAAAAAAATCAATGAATCCAGGAGCTGGTTTTTTGAAAAGATCAACAAGATATATAGACCACTAGCAAGACTAATAAAGAAGGAAAGAGAGAAGAATCAAAAAGATGCAATAAAAAATGATAAAGGGGATATCACCACTGATCCCACAGAAATACAAACTACCATCAGAGAGTACTATAAACACCTCTACGCAAATAAACTAGAAACTCTAGAAGAAAGGGATTCGTTCCTGGACACATACACCCTCGCAAGACTAAACCAGGAAGAAGTTGAATCTCCGAATAGACCAATAACAGGTTCTGAAATTGAGGCAATAATTAATAGCCTACCAACTAAAAAAAGTCCAGGACCAGATGGATTCACAGTGAATTCTACCAGAAGTACAAAGAAGAGCTGTTACCATTCCTTCTGAAACTATTCCAATCAATAGAAAAAGAGGGAATCCTCCCTGACTCATTTTATGAGGCCAGCATCATCCTGATACTAAAGTCTGGCAGAGACGCAACAAAAAAAAGAGAATTTTAGACCAACATCCTTGATGAACATTGATGCAAAAATCCTCAATAAAATACTGGCAAACCGAATCCAGCAGCACATCAAAAAGTGAATCCTCCACAATCAAGTGGGCTTCATCCCTGGGATGCAAGGCTAGTTCAACATACATAAATCAATAAACGTAATCCATCACATAAACAGAACCAACGACAAAAACCACATGATTATCTCAATAGATGCAGAAAAGGCCTTTGAAAAAATTCAACAGCCTTTCATGCTTAAAAACTCTCAATAAACTAGGTATTGATGGAATGTATCTCAAAATAATAAGAGCTATTTATGACAAATCTACAGCCAATATCATACTGAATGGGCAAAAACTGGAAGCATTCCCTTTGAAAACTGGCACAAGGCAAGGATGCTCTCTCTCACCACTTCTATTCAACATAGTATTGGCAGTTCTGGCGAGGGCAATTAGGCAAGAGAAAGAAATAAAGGGTATTCAATTAGGAAAAGAGGAAGTCAAATTGTCCCTGTTTGCAGATGACATGATTGTATATTTAGAAAACCCCATCATCTCAGCCCAAAATCTCCTTAAGCTGATAAGCAACTTCAACAAAGTTTCAGGATACAAAATCAATGTGCAAAAATCACAGGCATTCCTATACATCAATAATAGACAAAGAAAGAACCAAATCATGAATGAACTCCCATTCACAATTGCTTCAAAGAGAATAAAATACCTAGGAATCCAACTTACAAGGGATGTGAAGGACCTCTTCAAGGAGAACTACAAACCACTGCTCAATGAAATAAAAGAGGACAGAAAAAAATAGAAGAACATTCCATGCTCATGGATAGGAAGAATCAATATCATGAAAATGGCCATACTACCCAAGGTAATTTATAGATTCAGTGCTATCCCCGTCAAGCTACCATTGACTTTCTTCACAGAATTGGAAAAAACTACTTTAAATTTCATATGGAACCAAAAAACAGCCTGTATTGCCAAGACAATCCTAAGCCAAAAGAAAAAAGTTGGAGGCATCATGCTACCTGACTTCAAACTATACTACAAGGCTACAGTAACCAAAACAGCATGGTACTGGTACCAAAACAGAGATATAGACCAATGGAACAGAACAGAGGCCCCAAAATAACACCACACATCTACAACCATCTGATCTTTAACAAACCTGACAAAAACAAGAAATGGGGAAAGGATTCCCTATGTAATAAATGGTGCTGGGAAAACTGTCTAGCCATATGTGGAAAGCTGAAACTGTATCACTTCCTTACACCTTATACAAAAATTAACTCAAAATGGATTAAAGACTTAAATGTAAGACCTAAAACCATAAAAACCCTGGATGAAAACCTAGGCAATACCATTCAGGACATAGGCATGGGCAAAGACTTCATGACTAAACACCAAAAGCAATGGCAACAAAAGCCAAAATTGACAAATGGGATCTAACTAAACTAAAAAGCTTCTGCACAGCAAAAGAAACTATCATCAGAGTGAACAGACAACCTACAATGGGAGAAAATTTTTGCAATGTATACATCTGACAAAGGGCTAAATGAAGACATTTATGAAAAAATGCTCTTCATCACTGGTCATCAGAGAAACGCAAATCAAAACCACAATGAAATATCATCTCACACCAGTTAGAATGGCGATCATTAAAAAGTCAGGAAGCAACAGATGCTAGAGAGGATGTGGAGAAATAGGAACACTTTTACACTGTTGGTGGGAGTGTAAATTAGTTCAACCATTGTGGAAGACAGTGTGGCAATTCCGCAAGGATCTGAAACTAGAAATACCATTTGACTCTGCAATCCCATTACTGGGTATATACCCAAAGGATTATAAATCATGCTGCTATAAAGACACATGCACACCTATGTTTATTGCGGCACTATTCACAATAGCAAAGACTTGGAACCAACACAAATGTCCATCAATAGTAGACTGGATAAAGAAAATGTGGCACATATACATCATGGAATACTATGCAGCCATAAAAAAGGATGAGTTCTCATTCTCAGCAAACTATCGCAAGGACAGAAAACAAAACACTGCATGTTCTCACTCATAGGTGGGAATTGAACAATGAGAACACTTGGACACAGGGAGGGGAACATCACACACCGGGGTCTGTCGTGGGATCAGGGAAGCGGGAGGGATAGCATTAGGAGATATACCTAATGTAAATGACGAGTTAATGGGTACAGCACACCAACATGGCACATGTATACATATGTAACAAACCTGCCCGTTGTGCACATGTACCCTAGAACTTAAAGTATAATAAAAAAAAAAAGATGAATTCATATCCTTTGCAGGGACATGGATGAAGCTGGAAACCATCATTTTCAGCAAAATATCACAGGGACAGAAAACCAAACACCACATGTTCTCACTCATAAGTGGTAGTTGAACAATGAGAACCCATGGACACAGGGAGGGGAATATCACACACCAGGGTCTATTGGGGGTTTGGGGGCAAGGGGAGGGATAGCATTAGGAGAAATACCTAATGTAAATGACGAGTTGATGGGTGCAGCAAACCAACATGGCACATATATACCTATGTAACAAAACTGCCTGTTGTGCACATGTACCCTAGAACTTAAAGTATAATAATAATTAAAAAAAAAAAAAAGAAAAGACCAGCTAATACAATGAAAAGTTCTGACCTTATGGTTTGGGATACAGATATGGTCCTTCTCAGTGGTATCCCAGAGTACAATCTTCTCGTTACCCCTGTCCTGCTCTTACTTGGAGGAAGCCCATGCCTTCTCCTCCAGTAACCTCATTATGACTCCATGGAAACTTACTAGTGTGTGTGGAGAGGCCAAGTCCTATAGACTCCCAGGTCATCACAAGAACACTGTGGTCAGACCTTACCCTTCAAGACAGGAGGTGCCCTACCTTCCGCTGGAGATGGCTTGCCTTGAGATGGGCTGATGACTGCCAGGGTGGTTGGAGTAGGGAATTGGTGTAGCAATGGCAGTGATGAGAATCCGAAGGGGCCTTTGCCTTTATTTTTCTTGCTACTCCTGTCCAGGTTTCTTCAAAGAAGGAAGGTTCTCTTCCCCAAGGTTAAACTTGGTAACTAATCACACAGACAAAATCTTGCCTGGTAATCATGGCCAGGTATGGCCGAAAATGCTGGTGCTCAGCAATATTCATGTTCTTTTCTTCTTCGTGGGCATGGAGCTCAACTATGGTTCCAGACTACCTTGAAGTTAGGTGTTATCGTGTAAGTGTGTTCTTGCCAGGGGAACATGAGTGGAGGTGACTGCACAACTTCTAGAATTGGCTCACATGTGGTGTTTGCTCTTTCCTGACCTGCTTGCTGTATGGAGAAGTCTCCGAGGACCTACATTGAAGGGTTCTGGGTTCCTGAACAACGCATAGAGTAAGACCTCCCACCCCCACCAACTGCAGTGGGAGAAGCAAGCCTTTTTTTTTTCTTTTTTCTTTTTTTTTTTTTGAGATGGAGTCTCGCCCTGTCGCCTAGGCTGGAGTGCAGTGATGTGAACTTGGCTCACTGCAACCTCTGCCTCCTGGGTTCAAGTGTTCCTCCAGCCTCAGTCTCCCCAGTAGCTGGGATTACAGGCATGTGCCGCTGCATCCAGCTGATTTTTGTATTTTTAGTAGAGATGGGGTTTCACCATGTTGCCCAAGCTGGCCTTGAACTTCTGATCTCAGGTGATCCATCTGCCTTGGCCTCCCAAAGTGCTGGGATTACAAGCGTTGGTCACCGCGCCTGACCGAGAAGTAAACCTTTAATGATGTTAAGCCATTGATTTAGGTACTTGAGTGATTTTCTCTAAAAGTGACTTGCTGCCTTATTTCTAGATACGACAGAAACTGACCTCACTTTAAGCGTCCCTTGCCAAGGAGCCAATTATACAAGTGATGAGGAGAATTCAATATGGTGAGATGAATGCGGTGACAGGGACACACAGAGGGCTCTGGGAACTCAGAGAAGGTGCCAAACCCAAGCTGAAAGGCTCAATCAGGAGAGGCACTGACACTCAGAACAGTTCAGAGGATGAGGCGGGGGATGGCGAGGACAAGGAGAAAGAGACAAGCAGGTTTCTGTGCAGAGTAAGCAGGGGCAGATGGGGTGCCTGGCTAGGGCCAGGTCAGGAGCAGAGGCTAAGGAAGAAATGAGGAACCTGAGGGCAAAGAGTTAAGATCCCAAGTCCTGTGAGAGCTGGCTTGGTCGGCTAGGTTTTAGGATTCAAGGCTGAGGAGGGACATTTGCATCTCAACAGGAGGAGAAGCAAAAGGGTCACAGCCCTCCAGTCTCTGAATTACTGTGGGTTGGCTGTACCTACCACAGGATCTATAGGGAAGCACCTACAGTCACCTGATGTATTCTAGTTAGGGTGTAGAGAGGGATGCTGGCTTTGAGATCCATTTAAGAGGCAGAACTAGATTTGCTGACTATTTACAGATGGAGGATGTCACGAAGAGAGGAGGTCAGGCCAATACCCAGGTTTTTGACTCAAGTGCCTGAGTAGATGGTTCTGCCATTCACTCACAAACTGGACTTGGGGATGGAACAGTGTTGTGCAGGAAGTAGGAAAATGAGTCTGGTCTGGGGGCATCTTGAGTTCAAAGGGCCCATGAGACACCCAGTAAGAAAAGTCCCGTAGGCAGATTGCAGAATGCATCTGGATCTCACGAGTCAGGTTGGAGCTGGAGGCAGTAACTGAGAGGAGAGGCAGGCCAAGACTGAATCCTGGGGAGCACCAACATGATGGGAATGATAAAGAAGGGCCTGTGAAGGTCCTTCTGGTCCCCCCAGACTCCAGTAACAATATTTCCCTCTTGCTTAGCACACAACCGTGCATGGCCTGCATGGTTTCCTCAGCCCCAACTTCATTCCCTTAGATGAGCTGCTGGCCAAGGCCCACACACGCCTCCTTTCGGAGCCTGCCTAAGCTAGGACAGCCCTAGCAAGGCAAGTCACATTCTGCCTGAGGGCCCTGCTCTCCTAAGACTCCACAGCCAAACTTCAGTTTTCTACCTTCCCTGACTCAGCCCTAGTCTTGGGATTGGTGTTGGTGGCATGACTTCGGTCTGCAGAATTTATTATGGGCCCTGCTCTCCTCTCCAGCCAGCCCACTGACTGTGTGACTTAGGCGTGAGTTCACATTTTGGGAATTTTAATACATGCTGAGCATCCCAGCCAGTCTAGATTTCTCTGTTTCTGTGCCAGTGGCTTCTTTAAGGTGATCCACTTCCCATTTGTCAATCTCTTTGCCAGACTTCCTCTGGCTCATTAACTAAAGTCCCCCAAAAAGAAGAAAGTATTTGGAAGGTGTGGTGAATGCTCCCTTTAGCTAATTGACCAACATGTCTGAAGTCCATGTGGTTTTCTTTACAGAGTCTGACCTGGATCAGAAACATTGGCTTCACTGGGGCTTACTATTATTATTATTTTTTCCCTTCTTGAAGCTTTTACGGAACTTTTCTTCTTCCAGATTGACTTAAGCCCAAATACTCCCTTACCTTGTCTAAATTGTCACAGATGACTTGCTGACAACAAAAATATTGTAGACCATCTGATTTGGTGTCACGGTCTGCAGAATGATCAGACTCCATAAAAGCCACCCCGAGGACTTCTCCCAGCTCTCATGGAAGGATTACTTGGGCATTAGTCTTTATGTCTTCAGTTTGGGGAAGTCCCAGTTATCCCTGATTGGGTCCTTTATTACCATGATTTGCTTCCTATTTCTGTCGCTTTTCCTGCAGTGACCAGGTGAGCAGCGAGACCATTCACAAGAACAGGGATCCAGTAGCCATACCAGACTCCTTCTTTCTTAAGCTCCGTATTCTATCAGCTCCAGGTCTGGCTGATTTGGCCTGCTGGTTTATTCAGCATGTATTTATTATGAGTCTACCATATAACAGGCACTACATTTTAGCACTGGGGGCGCAGTGATGAGCAGGGTAGTTGCAGTCCCCACACTGGTAGAGATTTCACTGCACAAGGAAGACAATAAAGCAATGACAATAGAGAGGAGTAAGTCTTCCGTAGGGGATATCGCTCTGGGAGGATTCCCTTCATCTCAGGCTAAATGAAGCAATACATGTGAAGTTAGTTTTAAGTTGCAAAGGGCTAATGCAAATGTTGGTCATGTGTTAAGATTATCAACTAGTTCTTAGAACCTGCTCTCCAAGGACAGAAAAGAAAGAGAGAAAAGGACAAAAGCTGTGGGTTAAGGAGAGACACAGGAGGAGATGAGAAGCTAACAGCGAGAAAGAATGGGGCAGGAGAACCTGTGTCAGGACTGGACTGAAGAAAGTTCATTTTCTTGAACTGTGCAAGTTACTAGTCTCTGTGGTGAAAGTGAGTTTCCAAACCACTTGCTGGTCACCAGGAGGCCACCGGGACCACTTCATCCAATTGCTTTCTTTCTCCCCATCCAGCTACTTCCCATCAGGATTCTACAGCTGAGGAAAGCATGGTCCGGAGAGAGGATGGGACTTGCCAAGGTCCTTTAGTGAGCCAGGGACAGACCTGGACTAGAACTTTGGCCTCCTGACTCCTGCTCCAGGGCTTTTTCTCACTATGCATGTTTTTCTTTTTCTTGGTCAGGAGCACTTTTAATTTAATAAAAGAAAACGTACAGTTTCCTCTCTAACCAAAGATATCCTGTTCTATCTTTGGACATAGCAACAAAAATGCAAAGTGATTGACAGGCCTGGCAATGTGCTTTCTCAGGCAGAATCTGGGCCGGGCCCTGGCCTGGTTCCTGCCTCTCTCCGGGGCTGCTAGTGGTTATGAAAGGATCATCACAACACTCAGGTGGTGGTCATGGTTGTGGGGGAAGGGGCTTCCTAGCAGGCTCCGCGACTGCAGCCACATTTGAAGGATGTGCTGGCTAGTCCAGAAACCCCTAGCTTGCCAGTCTGGGGGCCCCCATTGTCCTAATCCCATCGGGACTGGTCAGGTCTGAAGTTTCTCCTGCAGGCTGTACCCCAGAGTCCCTGAGGCACTCTGACGAGGGTGCAGGGCCAGTGGCTTGGCTTCAGCTAACTCAGCTCCTTGGATTTGAAATGAGCCTTGCTGTCTGGAATGAGACTCGGTTGCCTGTGTGGCTTAAGATAACAGTAAGACCCAAAGTGTATTGAGACTTTACAATTTGCCAGGCATTGTTGTAAATGATTCGCATGCGATATCCTATTTGATCAAAAGCCCTAGCAGAATGGTACTATTTTGAATGTCTGCATCATACAGATGAGGAAACTGAGGCACAAGAGGGCACCTCTCACAGGCAATAAATAGCCGAGCCAGGCAGACTCAGGCAGCATGATTTCAGAGGCCAGTGTACTCAACAATGAGGAATGTTGGAAATTGCAGCCTCTCCCAGTGGGTCCCATACACCTGGGCTTTTGCCTCAGTTTTTCTAATCTGTACCCAAATTCCCTGATGAAGTTTAAGACCTTCTATATTAGTCAGGACTCTTGGTTCCATATGTCAGAAACTCAACTCAAATAGGTTTACGCAAATCACGGACTGGATCAGCTTCTTTCCAGTTCCTGAAACTGCAGGGATTGTGCTGAACTAAAGCATTACTGAAACTAGATACTCTGGTGATGGAGATGGGATTTTCCTTCTTTTCTCTGTCTTTCAACTCTGTGCTTCTTTGTATTTGCTGCATCCTCAGGCAGGTGCTTCCTAAGTGAGGGAAAGTTGGCCATGAGCAGCTCCTGGCTTGTGTTCTGCTAGCAGGTGTTTCTTGTCCTAGTTTTAGAAGACACTTCCTGCCCCAGTTTTAGAAAAAGCCCTAATGCTTAGTTTGTACTAGGTTGGGTCAAGTGTCCATTGGAGACCAATCATGAGGAAAGGATCATTCTCTCCTAAATACTCTAAGGCATAGTCCCCTGCATTAGTGTGGAGCCACAGCAGCCCTATTTGAACCGCATGGACAGGGCGTGGTAGGAGGTAGAAGTTCCTTAAGGGAAATGAGGCTATAAGGACAAGAAAGAGAAATGGATGCCTGGCAGATAAAAACTGTCAGATGTTCCCAACACCTGCTCTGGGTCACTACTTAATGTTTGAGCCCTGAAGCCCTATTCAACCTCTGCCAGCCCTTTTGGAGTCATTTGACTCCAAACTGTCAGGTGCAGTGTCCCCATTCAAGCTGGTCTCTCCGGACTTTGAGTTTTGCCCCTTTTCCAATAATCCTTCTGCTGTGGCCCACCCGTCCAGCCCAGGTGTTCTACAGAGGAACAGGATGGAGGGAAAGAGCCTTACCAACCTCAGTTCTGAGCTCTATCTCTTTGGGCCCCAGTTCCTCATCTGTAAAATGGGGATAATGACACAAAGCTTGCCGGGTTGCTGTCAGGATTAGATAACGTGTATGCTTTGGCGCATGGGAAGTCACTTGGGACATGTGACTAAGTGACTGAGTCTCAGTAACTAAGGCTAATGGTTCTGGAGACTAGGTTTTAGACTTCAGAATTGTTTTTAATGATGACCCTGAAGTTAGCTGCTTAGCACGATAATTCTGGTTAGATTTTTAGGAGGGGCACCACCAGCGAGCGACCAGCTTCTCTGTGCCAGTCCCAGTTCACCTGGATTACAGCACAGTGCACCATGCAGAAGGTCAAGGAATAGCCTGTGCATCAGTCAGGAAACAGACAGCACACTCCAATTAGGACAGATCAAGAATGTCATAGAGGAACTATTTATGGCAGTATGGCAGGGTATAGGGAAGCCACAAAGAATGTTGTACAACCCTGGAGCTAATAACAGAGAAACTTCTTTACCTTTCCTAGCCCTGAAGGAATGGGGAAGGAGTGGTAACTGGAACCAGAAAAAGACAAGGCTGTATGGAAAGTCCCCCTTACAGCAGCAGAGACCTGCAGGTGAGGGATCCAGCCAGCCTGCAGTAACCAGAAAGAGCAGGAGCTGCAGGAATAAATACCCCAATTTCTCTTTTCTCTTCTCCTCTAGTCTTCTGATCATATTTCCCATTGACTAGAGGGAAAGAAAGCCCACTGATGTAGTCTATACAAGTTAGGCACCAGGGATAGAGAGCCAAGTCTAGAGAGATGGATAGAAGGCCAAGTATAGAGTAGTGAAGAGGCATGGGTCAGCTGGCATATTGGCGTGTGACCTTGTTTCTGCCTTTAGTTTGTTGGAGATGGGAGCAATAATTTAGCACAGAGAAAAAGAGTCAGTATACTGCACTGATATACTCTCAGTGCAAACCAGGGGCTGTTGCAGACTGAGGAAGGGCTGTGGGTAGGAGAAGGCAGGTGAACCCACCCGGGTCCAAAACAGACCAACTGATAAAAAGGAGAGTCCACATTAATGAATAGATTCTGCCTTTTGGAGGAGGTGAGGTTGGAGTTGAGGAGCTGGATGGTCTATCTGCAGTTCTGAGTGGTCTTAAACATACAGGTTGCCTGAGTTCAAATTCTAACTCTTCTAGCTGTGCAGCTTTTGGAGAGTTACTTAAACTCTCTGTTCCTCAGTTTCTTCATTTGTAAAATGGAAATCATGCTATTACCAGCCTGATGGGGTAGTGCTGCTGATTAAATGAGTTAAAACATTCAAAGCACTTAGAATAATATCTAGTACATATTAAATACTCACTAAATCTTAGCTGCTTTTATTGTTATTATTATCGGAAAGAGTACTGAATGAAGAATCTTCAAACTTCTATACCAGTATTCATTCTGCCATGACTTGCTTCATGACCTTGGGCAAGTTACTTTCCCTCTTTGGCTTTGTTTCCTCTTCTCTAAGGTTAAGAGGTGGGATCTGACACATTTTGGCTAGAAAATTCTACATTCTGCAAGTCCCAAGTCCATTACAGATTTTGCAAAAGCCCCCAAAGGCAAAGTGTGTTTCCAGGGCCTCTCTGGCTTCTGCCAAAGAGAGCTCCGGTTTCTTCTGTTAGCATTGGCTGGAGGAGTTCCCAATAAGGGACCAGTAAGGCTCCTCCCTACAGGTGTCTCAGGGGCTGTGCTAATCTCTTTTTGATGGCCTCCATCTGCAGTGGATCCCCTGGAAGCACTGGCTGCCAGTGGGAGGGGCAAGCCCTTTGCTGCTGGTCCTTGGGGCAAATCACTCATCTCTGATGGTCTCTCCCTTGGGGCCTGAAGCCTGAGAGTTGGGATAGGAGGTCCCCTGAGTGGCTGGGGGAGGTGCAGATAGGCTTGGAGGCCATTACACCAACCCTGGCTGGGAAGGATGGCCTGATTCCATGTAAGGCTCTGATATCCCATCTTGGGATTTTTAACTGCCAATATGATCTCAAATGGCTTAAACTCAGGAAATTTGCCTTCCAATTCTTTTTTCCTGCTTCCTCATTGTGTTTCTTCTATTCTCTTCTCTTGATAAAATGTGAGCCCCTCAGCACAGCCCATGCATTTTGGCTCCTAGCTGCCTCTAAGCTCTCCTTGTTGCCATTGAAGTCCTTTGTTTTTGAGCCCCAGTTACTCTGGGGTCTCAGTTCCTTGGTTATACCAAGTGTTTTGTATTTCTGGAACTTAGCACATGCCTGGAACACCTCTCCTTTCTATTTCCCTTAGCTAATTCCTCTCACCCTTAAATCTCCGGGATGTCATTTCCTCCTCAGAGCCTTCCCTGACACCTGAGGTTACAAGTGATGATAGGTATTGAGCATGTTGCCTATGACCGGCTTCTCTATGAGACCCTGAGGGCAGGGGCTGTTTCTGCCCTAATCAAGCTGGATTCCCCAAGCCTAGGACAGTGTCTGATTCTCAGAATCTATAATTAATGGAAACGTCTCCATCCATTACTCTTTCTTGTCTTTCTTCTTACTTTTCTTTCAAAAATGTAAATTTGCTGATGTTGCTCACCCATTTAAGATTGTCTGACTTTTTCCTCCTTCCTGGATAAAGGTTTTATTGACAAGGCTCATGAGGATGTGCCTCTTGCTCTTTTCCCAGCCCTGTCCCCATAAACACTCCCCTCCACCCATGCCCACTTGCATAGTTTCCAAGGGTATTGTGCTGTTTCTCCTCTCCAGCCTTTTGCACAGGCTGTTCACTCAGCCTTGCCTATCCTTCCTGACCCTCTTTACCTAATTAACTCTGTTCTTTTAGATCAGATCTCATGAGTCCCTTTCCCCAGAAAATCTGTCCTTAACCTTCCAGATGGGTCCGTTGTCTCTTCTCTCCCCCACGGTTCCCTGTGCCTGCTTTCCTCATTTTTCTGGTCATGCTGGCTAGGACTTGCTTATTGTTTGTTGTATTTCTCACTAGACTAAGAAGGACCTAAAAGGACTATGCCTTTTATTTCTGAATTCAGGCCACCTAATATAGTGCCTTGCACATAGTAGGTACTCAGCAAAGGTTTACTGAATAATGAGTTTTAGTAATGATTTAGTTAACCAGATCATGCCCAGCTTTGTATTGTGATAACATCACTTACTACCAGGATAGACCTCACTGGGTAAATGTACATAACAGTCATTTCTTACTGATGAAGCTTCAGTTTTGAAGTACTAGGTGCTTAGGGGAAATGGCTCTATCCTCACGCCTGGGAGGATGAGTCATATTGGTTTAAGTCATCCATGGTGGTGTCAAACTCTTTGTCAGTTTTGGGATTGGGTATGGACATATCAACTGATCATATGGTCCATGGGACCTGAGAAGAAACTCGCTATGGGGCTTCTGGGAAAGAATTTCTTTGCTGATAGGAGAGATTCACAGGGGGAAAAAATATCATCCTTTTTGGGTAATATGTCCTCAAGTTACCCCTGCTGCACTGTCTTGTGACAAGGAGGAGAGACCTCAACAACATGCAGAGAATGGCATAGGACAGGGATGGTAAACACCTGAGCCTTTGATGACATCTCCTGCCCCTGAGTTAAACAAAAGTAGAATTTCCTCTTATTTCTGGACTTCTTGCTATGTGAATTAATAAGCCCTCTATGGTTTAAGCTCTTTTAAATTTAAGTCTTCTGCTACTTTTAGCGAGAATCATTTAAAATGATTTTCTGCCAATGTGTTCTTGGACAAGTCATTTATTCTTGCTAAGCTTGAATTTCTTTACCTGTAAAAAAGAGATGCCAGTATTTCTGCACTTCTGCACATCAGTGATCTTGTGAAAGAAGTGAATTTGCTTGGAATGAGGGAAGCACTAGACAAATGGAAGAAGGGATTAGCATTAGCCCCTGCTAGGGGACTTGGAATACAATGATTGGAGCTGACTCATTCTTTCTCTCCCTATTTCTTTCACCAGGTAATAGGTTTAAACACCAAAAAGTATAGAAACATATAAGAATAAAAGATTCTCATCCTCCCCTTTCTCCAATGTGCTAATTCATACTGCCCACCAGCACTTCAGCAAGTAGCTACTGTTGCTCATTCCTTGTTTTTCTGCCCAGGGATGTTTTATATAAATATAAATGCACAGTACAAGATGTGGTTTGACTGTGTCCTCACCCAAATCTCATCTTGAACTGCGGCTCTCACAGTTCCTACGCATTATGGGAGGGACCTAGTGGGAGATAATTGAATCATGGGGTCGGTTCCCTCATACTGTTCTCATGGTAGTGAATAAGTCTCACAAGATCTGCTGGTTTTAAAAGGGATTTACGTTTTTGCTTGGCTCTCATTCTCTCTTGTCTGCCGCCGTGTAAGATGTGACTTTCACCTTCTGCCATGATTGTGAGGGCTTCTCCAGCTCTGTGGAACTGTGAGTCCATTAAACCTCTTTTTCTGTATAAATTACCCAGTCTCAGGTATGTCTTTACCAGCAGTGTGAAACAGACTAATACAGTACACAAACATAGAGTACTATTCTCTCAACTGATTTTTTTTAACTTAAAGAGCACAGTATACCACTGTCCTAGTCCAGTTTACTTTTTCATTTTAGCAGTGTATCTTGAGATTTTTCCATAACAGCACATAATGAACTTCTTGTTTTCTTTTATAGTATCCTAACATTCCATTATAGGGATGCATTAATTTATTTCCTCAGTTCCTCATCGATTATCCTTTAGGTTGTTCCAAGACATTATCATTGTAAACAGTGTAGTGATGAATAACATAATAAGTCTGGTTTAACTGTAGAAGAAATTTTTAGGAGTGGAATTGTTGGGACAAAGTATATATGCATTTATAGCATTTAAAAATGTGGCTGCTTGCATCTTAATTACTAAATGAGGTCTGAGGGAAAGAGACTGCAGACTCCCTTTTTCACCCAGCCCCATGCCATACCTGCTCCAGATATTATCCTGGGCCAGTCTGACCTTTCTTCACTCCACAAATATTTATTGTGGACATTAGAAAAATAGTCATGTGGGATGGCTCTTTCCTGAATGAATGAGCTAGACGAGAGCCTGGAGATGACTTGATAGATGATGACTGGGAGCCCAGAGAGGTCGAGTGCTGCAGGGCTGCACAACAGAGCTGGAACGAAGACCTAGGGCTTTGTGATTCCCAGTCCAGGATTCTTACTTTTGTGCTGGCGCTCGTCTCTCCGCTGCAGTGCTAGTCTGAAAACAACCTCAGGGAGACTTCACCATAATTAAGTTCACATCCTGAGTAGCATTCTGCATGGACTCCATGGGCTTTTTACACATTCTAGTCCTGTCATATGCAATCACTCATCATTCATTCATTCATCCATTCATTCAGGGTTCACAGAAAGGAAACATCAGGGTACATCTCCAGAGGTGTTTGTGGGGGTGCTGTGCGCAGGGCAGTCCTGCTCTGCCTTGCAGTGGCTGGTCCTCACCAGGAGCAGGAGGTCGTTCTAATCTGTTCCACTTCAAGAGGATAAAGACAAACTGGATATCTGGGAGAGGAAACTGGAGTGGGGAGGGGACTTGAAAACAGGTCCCATAAAGGTGATTGGGGGAAGTAGAGCGGTTGTCTTGAAGAGGAGGTTTGGGGAGCCTGAGCTAGAAGAGGAGGTTTGGGGAGCCTGAGCTAGAGAGGGCAGAGGGTTCTGTGCTGGTCCTGAGAAGAGGGAGAGACAGACTCCTGGGAGCTGTTGAGAGGGAGTAAGAGTGGACACTAACATCAGAGAGGTCCAACCCTGGGCTGGGCAGCTCTGAGGGGTAAGTGTGTCATTCCTGCTGAAGACCCTTCAGTGGAAGGGTCTTCCACTCTCTTAACTATTAGAATGAAGGTCAAACTCTTTACCATGGCCTGCGAGAGCCCACATGCTCTGGCCTCCTGCCCCCTGACACCTCCCCTTTAGCCTCATCTTATGCTACTGGGCCTTTCTTCTTTAGCTCCCTGTTCACACTTACCTGCTTCAGTGCCCTTGCACATGCTGCTCCCTTTAGAATGAGACCAAGGAGATACATTCCTTAATGGGATTACATGAACTAATAATACCAATGATAACAGTGACAGCACGTACATTTAGAGCACTTCCCACACTCCAGGGATTTTAAGCACTTCATATGTTTACTCATGTAGCGTGCACAAAAGCCCTATGAAGTTGGTGTTGTGCTTGTTCTCATTTTATAGATGGGAATCCAGCAGACTGGGTTGCTCAGGAAGCCAACTCTGAGACGGACATGGGCATGCAGTCTGTTTAAGAGGGAGTGCTCTTGGGACCAACACCGGTGGGAAGAGGGAAGAGGCAGGAGGGGCCCAGGGAAATTTTGAGCTGTAATATGGTCTCAGCCAAGACCTCAGCTGGCCCCATGGGTTGCTCTGGAACTTGGATGGTCCTTCAGTTGATCCAAGTGGGGTAAGGGGATTAGACTTTGCACTCCTATGTTGATCAGACATCTGATGTGAACATGAACTTGAGTGAGTCAGTTTTCTTGACCCAAGCGGACTTCCCAGAAAGGGCTGACAGCTGTGGGCTGTCTTGCCACAGCACTTCCAGCCACTGAGGGCAATAAGTTCTTCATTCTGGAAGGGGTACCCCATGACACATCACAGCAGCCAACACAGGAACCCAGGCATAGACAGGCCAAGTAACTGCCCTAAAGTCCTGCAGCTTTAAGTGGGGAGGCGGGTATCAGGATTGGAACTCAGGTTATATTGCCTCCTAGGGAATTTTTGCATGCATTTAGAATAGTGTCTGACAATAAGTGCTCAATAAAGGTTAGCTGCTCTTGTTATTGTTGTTATTATTTTATAAGTGGGAAAACTAGACAGTGGTGAAGTTAAATCATGTTCCTAAGGTCACACAGCTACTAAGGACTAGAGTTGGAGTTTTAACCCCATTTCATTAGTTAGAAAATTAATACAAGTCCCATTAGAGCAAGGACTTCTTTATCAATAGGGGCTAGAATGCCTAGCACATTGTAGGTGTGCCGTAAAAATTTGTGAAGTTAATTATGTGCTTATTTAATTAAAATATTTATGGAGCTTTGAGTCTGACTCCCCAGGCCTTTGTTCCCTCCACCAGCAGATCTGAGTGTTTTCTGGCTGACATTGGAGACTATCTGGTCTAAACACTCTCATTTTATGGATGAGCAAACCGAGGCTCAGAAGAGACTCACCCAAGGTTCCAGAGCCTCTCAGTGGCTGGTCAGGACTCCTACCGAGGTCTCTGGACTTTGTGGTCTTGTGTTCTTTCGACTGTATCAACGTGTACTGCAGCTGCCTGGAGATCAAATGCGAAGGCTGACTCCGAAGGTCCTGGCTGGATCCTGAGTTTCCACATTTCCAGTGAGCTCCCAGCTGGTTCTGATGCGATGATGCTGGTCCATGGACCACCCTTTGAGAAGCAAGGGAGTCAGCGGTCACAAATATTTGAGAGCGGGAGATCCCCAAGAGCCAAAGCAGGTCGGTGCTGCGATATGGTGTTGAATGGCCGGGGCCTGTTCCTCTTCCTGCCACACGTAATCCAGGTGCTGTCAACAGGCAGCAGGAACACCTGGTTGTGGGGTCACAAATTCACTCAGGTGCCCGGCTGTTCCCTACTGAGCCTCTCCAGTAAATCAGTCATCTGTCAGAACTGGCTTAGACCGCCTGGTGTGCTGGAGCTGCAGCAGCTGGGCCTGGTGGGTTCCCAGGAGGGGCGCCTGCAACATGGGCTGCACAGGCGAGTTGCAACTCTGACTCTGCTCAGGTGGGCCAGAGGCAGGCCCCGTTTTGAGGCCAGGATCTGCTACTTACTCACCTGGAGGACTTGGGTGAGCCACCAACATCACCTCTCTGAGCCTCAGTCTCCTCACTTGTAAAATGGGATCATAGTACTTGCCTCCTCATAGGTAGTTGTGAGGCTTCAATGACGTAATGCATGTAAAGTTCTCAGCAGGCACTTAGTAAATGCTTGATGAATATTTGTTTTTCTTATGTTTATTTTTATGGGAGCTAGGTCTTCCAGAGAAATTCTTGGCAATAGGAAGGAAGGAGTGGAGGATTACTCAGCTTCCTATACATGGGGCTGGTAGGCATGAGTCAGGCCGGGGTCTGTGTGGGAGGGATTCCCACATCTTAACATCCACTTGTGTGTTCATGCAGAAATCTGAGCATCAGCCCGGCCTCTGCCCTTACCCTCACCCCCACATCCAGTCAATCAGCAGTTCCTTTCCTTTCTAACTTCTGAGTATCCTTTGGTATCCTCTGAGTATCTCTTATTTTCCGTGGCCTAAGTAAATGGGCCATGCTTGGTGATGTACTGGTATTTTCTTTAACTTTCCCAGGCCCCTGCAAGGCTTGTGAGAGAGAGGCCTTATTATGTTCACTTTACAGATGGAAATATCTAGGCTCAAAGTGGTCAAGCGGCTTCCCCTGTTAGTCAGTGACCGAATCTGATGAATCTCAGGTCTACTGGGTCATGGAGACTGTGCTTTAGATGCTACACATTAGTCCTAGATAAGCAATCTTTGCAACGTGTTTTGCTTTGCATTTTAATGCATTTATCACTTGGTCTTTCCTGTGCCAGATGCCGCTCTTTGCCCAGTCATTGAACCACTTTCCTAACCGCTCATCTCCACATTCCAAAGCCTCCAGCATCTCTGGCTGGGGGACAAGGTTTGGCTGTCTGCCCAGGGTCCCCTGA